>NC_000002.12:152338102-152641133 GCF_000001405.40 Homo sapiens | reverse complement strand
CTCTGCTGAAACTTACAGGGTTCCAATGCAGAGTATTGGGGCAGTATACATGCTGCTGTAAATGGACTTCAAAGCCTCTCTGCATCACTCTGGGTGTGAATAAAGTCAACTAATGAACTTGACAACCCTGGACAAAAGAAGCTGCAAAATCTGCATGCATCCCAGTCTAGGTGAGGCCAGTGGGATCTCCATGGGCCACAGTGAAGAAATATCTTTTACCTGTGATAATATCTTCAATGGCACCATCTTTTCCCTCATATACATGTCTGTTATCTTTAACTTGTCGTCTTCTTAATTCTGCAATTAACTCTTGCTGCTGCCTCTTTGATTTATGAGAAGGAGACTGAGAAGAAAGAAGGGCAGAGATTAGTGAGGCCAGCACCCATTAGGAGTTTGTGAAAATCCAAAATGTGCCTGAGCATTATGTTACTAATAAGCAGCTTCGGCCAAAAACACACACACATCCCACATTCTGCTCAGTTGCAGAGAACTCAAGCTTCTGGGAAGGAAACAAAAACTTCCACTGACGAACACACAAAACTTCACCTGGCAGCAACAAGAAGGCTGGAGTCTACGGCAACAAGAGGCAACTGGTAATGACCATAGATGTCTTAAACTGTGTTGCCAAGGATCACAATGAAGAAAACTTTGGACTGCCAGCCTTTATGCTCTTTACCTACTAACGAGGTTGCCCTCCATGAAATGTTCCCTCCATTCCTGCTAGCAAGTCCCTCCAGCTATCAAGGCCAGCACCAATGGGCATCTGCATAAAGCCTTCTCTGGATGCTAAGCCCTCTGGTCACTGGGTCATCTGGTGTGGCCTCTCTGTATATCCAACTAAGTTCCAGATGTCTATACGCTTGGATATGCTACACAAACATGCTCTTAGCCTCATTCCAGTGGTTGCAGAACAAAGTAATCAATGAGCATATTTCCATTTGCCAAGTGTCCAGGCACCAGAAGGAAGTGGTCAGGATCCTGGGCACACCTGGCTTGCTGGTCCTTTGTATGGCTTGCTCTGAAGAGCCCTCTCAGCCTCTCCTCACGGACCTGTCTCATGAGTGCGGCACTTCTTACCTTTGGATCCTGCTGCTCCATCAGAGCTTCTTGCTCTAGGAGTTTTTCCATGAGAGCTTGTTCCTGCTTTTTCCTCAGCTCATTTTCCTCTTCTGCTTGCTGGGTAAATCAAAAGAACCAGAAAGATGATGTTAATGGAAATGAGAGCAGCCAAGATTTTTTAAAGTCATTCTTCAAGCATCCTTAGTGAGTTGAGAATTACAATAAATGGAAGGTTGAGAAGATCTACACTTTATGCCTGTATTTAGCTCTGCTTCTGGGCTTCGCTACCTGTCACATCTCTTTAAAAGCTGGGAGCTGAGATTCAATTCATCCAGAAGTCCTTTCCTGATGATCGCTCCCTGTTTGAACTTTCTCTTAGTCTCTGTCCCACACACTGGTGGGCACCTACCATCCTGGCAGCTGTGCTCAGTGATTTTGTTTTCCTTTCAGAGACAGTCTGCCTACCTAGAGTTCCTCTGATAGCAGGATCTAAGATTCTTCTGCCTTCTGCCTATTGTTAGGGGAAAACCCTCATTTCTTTTCGGGGCCTCACCAGAGTGACACTCTTGGACTCTCCCATGCCTTGCTCCTTCCCAAGGAAGGCAGTGTGACTAGTCTGATGAATCTAGAAGAAAGTGAATAGGCTCACCTCAGCTCAGCCCTCTTGGGCACTCTTTCTTTTGAAGCCGGCCTCCCCGAAGAGACCTCTAGTTGTCAAGCTGTGAACTGATGGACAGGTCATCTACCTAATTTGCAGCTGAAGCAGAAGGTCACAGACACCACATCCTCCAGCCCAGCTGTTATCAGTAATAAAGTTTACATTTGGGTCTCCATTGCTTTTGTTTTCATTTTGGTCTATATGAGAGGGATGATGTCCTAAAACCCCAACCTCTGCCTACAAAGTCCCTAGGTGAGTGCCAGGCTAGGAGGCTATTCATCACGTATAGGGCAAGAAAAACATCCTGGCAGTCACATCACTGCCTGGCACATGCTTCACTGAATCAGCTGTGAAAAATCACAGGGAGGAACAGTGAGGTGGAAGGAGCACGCTGATGGACAGGCTGGGACCTCCAACACAGCCCAGACCACCAAGGGCAGCTTCTTTTTTCCTCTGCTCCACGCATATCCCTGCTGATGCCTCAGGCTTTGAGACAAACCCCAGCCACTTCCCAACCTGTCTTAGCCGATTTTAAAATATATTTTCTCTTTTGACCTTAGACTTACATGTTTTTATGTGAAAAAAATGGCACAGCACATGACAAGGGCCATCGCAGACTATCTCTACAGCACATAAACACAGCCAGCCAGTGGGCTTGGGCTACCAAGCACTGCAGACGGCAGCAGTTGGTGGCCCGCAGCCTTCTCATCACGAGCAAATCCTGAGTCTGGCACACGGAGTTTGTGCTGTGTTTCTGTTCACCCTGACTGCCACAGACGTTCCTTCTACCAGCAGCTTATAGCTCTACTGCTACATTAAGCCATGCTGAGGGAAGATGGGCTAAGAATATTTTGACTTTCTGAGTTTTAGTAAAAGGCCCAATAATGATTTTCCAGAGCCTTCAGCCCCTAGTGGTGTTAGGGAAGTGTCCCCCTATTTCCAACAGGACTTCTCAAAAGTGTGGAGAACCCTGCCACATCCCTCCTCCCCTCTGCAATAAACATTCCTCCTACCTCCACCAGTGTTATCAGTGCTACATGAAGATACGCCTGGAGGATATAGATTGAGGTGTTGCCAAGGTCAGCTAAAATCTTCTAACAGCCTTCTTGTAATTTCTCAAATGGACAAATCCTTCTGATACATGTCTCTTTGCGTCATAGGCTTTTTCAAGACCACAGCCCTGGATTATGTCCAAGAGGGCCTCCCATTTAAAGGAAGGGCCACTTACTGATCCACACAAAGAAACAGAGAGTGCCCATCCTTAAAAGCACCATCCTTTAGTCCATACTAGAGAAATGCTGGTCTAAGAGGTCCTAAGCCCTGTGCTATGACTTACACAAGCAGGCTCTCCTTAACTTCAGCTGTATCATGCACCTTCACCACAGCCCACAGCTCACTTCTACCCATTAAAGAATTCCACAAGAGGCCTGGATTTTCAAGTACTTCACCTTGCCTGCCTAGGTGAACAGTCAATGGGGCAGCAATGTCTTTGAGCATCTCCCTTGCCCCAAGGGGGCTGCCAAGAGCTTTGTTTTCTGGCTGAGGCAGAGGACTGGCTAGGTGGAGAAAGGGACCATAATGTCCCTCAGCCTCCACAGAGCTAGGGACTGCTATCTCGTGAATGCCACCCAGATCTGCTGTCCACAGGAACTGGGAGGCCTCTGCAGAGAGTTGGGACTCAGACACATCTCAAGGAGGGCAATTGCTTGAGAAATAAGGGCAAGGAGGGCCTTAACATATACCTTATATGCTTTCACAAACCGGACAAAGACAGGAAAGAAGACAGAGGGTGGTGTTGTCTTGGGGTTTTCTCCAAAATACTTCACAACATCATCAAAGGCATCCTGTGAAGAAGCAAATTTTTCTTGAGTTTCATTAGTTAGGCATTTGAACTGGATGCTCTAGGGGGAACGCTGATGCAAAGCAGCAGCCACAAGACAGAGGCTCCCATGGCCTTGCGTTGCTGCACCTCCCTTACCTCCCAAGATTGCCTAACGCCTCCGTGTTTCCTCCAAACGCCTCAGCAGAGGCAATCCGAGGAATGCAATAGTGGGGCACAGGAATTCATCTGCAGGACCTCCTGCCACTTCTACACACAGGCATACATGCATGCATGCACACGCACACACCCCACATACAAAACAAGGAAATCTTTCTTACAGGAGTTTCCAAAGGCCGTGGCAGAACCCCTTAAAACCAACAAGGTCAAAAGGGATCTTGGTCACTCTGACCCTAAATTCCACTTCCTTGCTTCAACACTCCCTATGACAGCCTCACACAGGGGACACTCAGTCTCTGCCTGAACTCTTCCATGATACAAGATTGCCCCAAACCAGAGGCCCTTCCACTGAATCTGCTTTCTGAGTCCCCATCCCCCAACTTTGCCTCTGCCTCTTCTGATAGCGTACTGTTCATTCTGTTTTGCAGGCCTGCCTATCTATCAGCAACCCCCAGTATAGTGTAAGATTTTCAAGGACAAGATCTACAGAAACCCACTACACAGGAAACACTGCTTTGCCGAGCACAGGCCTGACGCATGTGGGCTGAACTGAATACAGCACCCACACTGGAGTGAGTATTGAAGTGAAAGGGGAGGGGGAGGGGACAGGGTAAAGAGCCCCAGATTAGAAAAGGACAATGAGGACGGGGCCCTTCCAAGAATAACCCTGGGAATGGTCCCCCCGTAATAAATAATAGTTACAACAAGAAAGCTACCCTCCACAAACAGAGGGAAATGGAACATTTCTCCCCAAATACAGGGCCTGCACCACAGGCAGCTTTAATGGATGCAGCCTCTTCACAGGTTTCAGGGGCACCAATACTTGCCTGTGCGATCTTGGCATCATCCTGCAGCTTCTTCAGCTTCCCCTCATTGTTGAGGATGAACTCCTTCAGCAGCGTGTTATGGTCATGCATGGTGTACTCTCTCTTGGTCAAGTCCATTCCCCTCTGGAGCTCCTTGACATCCAGCAAAACATTCTCAAGGGAGACTAAAGCAGAGAAAGAACATCCCAGTGAAACTCAATGGGGAAGTCACAACCACAGCGAATCTGGCTGCTGGGCCAAGTTCTCAGGAGATTCTTAGGCTTACTCAAGGGCCCTAAACCTAGCTTCCAGCTTTTGGCACAGAGATCTTTTAATGCAAAGAAGCATTATAAGCACTACATTACATTCTTTGCATGCACTAGTTCATTTGCATCATTAGCTCATTTTGTCAATGAGCAAAAGCAGCATAAAGAGGTTCTGTGGCCTGCCCTTGGTCACACTGCTAGTAGGTGGCAGAGGAGTTCAGGTAACAAATGTGGACTCTAAATCCCACACTTGCACAAAACTATTCCATTTCTCTTACAAGAATAGCCTATGGGTGGGCCCGTAGGCTCAGAGGTCCTTATCTGCAGCAAGCCTAAGGTTTTGTGTGTTTTAGAGACAAGGTTTCACAATGTCATCCAGGCTGGAGTGCAGTGGTTCCATCATAGCTCACTGCACCTTCAAACTCCTGCCCCGACTTTCCAAAGTGTTGGGATTACAACTCTTTTTGCATTTCTCTGACTCTCCAGCAGGGGGCAGCCTTTTGTCGGTTGACCATAGGTTGTATTGATTACTAGGACCCAAAGCAGCCTTGCACAGCTAACAACCCCTCCCTATTCAGCAAGGTTTAGTGTGAACCTTTCTGTCTGCAGTGTGGCCCCTCCCGGGGCAGGCACTCCCCCACAGCCTCCTGAGCAGCTTCTTTAGGACGTTGAGTACCAGCTCTGGGCCCCCTTGCCTGACTCAACTCTGCACGTGGACAAATTATTGGTGCAAAAGTAACTGCAGTATTTGCTGAAATCTGCTGTTTGATATTGGAATACATTCTTAAATCAATGTGGTTATGTTATACATCATTTTAATGCACACTTCTCACTTTTTTTGCTAATGACGTATTAACTTGCTGTTTGTATTTATTTTAGACTACGGAAATGACGTTAGACAAAAAGCAAATTCAAGCAATTTTCTTATTTGAGTTCAAAACGGGTTGTAAAGCAGTGAAGACAACTCGCAACATCAACAATGCATTTGGCAATGCATTTGGTGGTTCAGGAAGTTTTGCAAAGGACACGAGAGCCTTGAAGATGAAGAGCTTAGTGGCCGGCCATCAGAAGTTGACAATGGCCAACTGAGAGCAATCATCGAAGCTGATCCTCTTGGAACCACACAAGAAGCTGCTGAAGAACTCAACATCAACCATTCTACAGTCTTTTAAAGCAAATTTGAAAGGTGAAAAAGCTTGGTAAGTGGGTGCCTTATAAGCTGAGAGAAAACTTTTTAAAAAATCGTTGCTTTCAAGTGTCATCTTCTCCTCTTCTACACAACGAACCATTTCTCAATCAGATTATGACATGCAACAAAAAATGGATTTTATATGAGAATCAGCAATGACCAGCTCAGTGGTTGGACCAAGAAGCAGCTCCAAAGCACTTCCCAAAGCCAAACTTGCATCAAAAAAAAAAGAAGTCATGGTCACCATTTGGTGGTCTGCTGCTGGTCTGATCCACTACAGCTTTCTGAATTCCAGCGAAACCATTACATCTGAGAAGTATGCTCAGCAAATCAATGAGATGCACCCCAAACAGCAACGCCTGTAGCTAGCATTGGTCAAGAGAAAGGGTCCAGTTCTCCACGACAACACCCAACTGCACATTGCACAACCAACGCTTGAAAAGTTGAACAAATTGGGCTATGAAGCTTTGCCTCATCCGCCATATTCACCTGACCTCTTGCCAACCGACTACCACTTTTTCAAGCATCTCGACAACTTTTTGCAGGGAAAATGCTTCCACAACCAGCAGGATGCGGAAAATGCTTTCCAAGAGTTGTTGAATCTAGAAGCACAGATTTTTTTCACTACAGGAATAAACAAACTTATTTCTCATTGGCAAAAATGTGTTGATCTTAATGGTTCCTGTTTTGATTACTAAAGATGTATTTTGTTTGTTTGTTTTTGAGACGGAGTCTCGCTCTTTTCACCCAGGCTGGAGTGAAGTGGTACAGTCTCAGCTCACTGCAACCTCTGCCTCCCGGGTTCAAGCAATTCTCCTGCCTCAGCCTCCCAAGTAGCTGGGAGTACAGGCATGTGCCACCATGCCCAGCTAATTTTTGTATTTTTAGTAGAGACAGGGTTTCGCTATGTTGGCCACGCTGGTCTCAAACTCCTGACCTCAAGTGATCCGCCCGCCTCAGCCTCCCAAAGTGCTAGGATTACATGAGCTACCGCACCCGGCCATAATAAAGATGTTTGAGCCTAGTTATAATGATTGATAATTCACGGTCCAAAATCACAGTTGCTTTTGCACCAACCTACTAAAACAGTGCAGTAGGTTTTTCCCTCAGTAGACTCACACTGTCTTATCATCCTTGATTCTCTAATACTTATGATAGTGCCAAGTACATGGAGGGCACTCAAAGGTGTTCACTGGATAAATGAAGGAGTGAGTGAACACATGAGTGAAGGAATACAGAATCTGTGTTGGGCAACCTGGGCACCAGAGAGCAAACAGAAAGAACAGTTCTGCCAGGGAGCAACCCAGTCTCCCATTTTCCCCACCGATGTTTTTCAAATGACACCATTTGGACCAAACAAAATGAATTAGTACCCATTGGTCAGGTAGAAATTATAATAGCTTTTTAACATTTTTCTTAATTAGAATTGTGAGGTGTAATTAATTTAGGCAAAGGGAAACTTAAAAGGAGGAAAATCATTTGGTCAGAACAGAAATTCTGCCTACTGTCTAAGTGAGCCCCGAACTTGCTCTAGGTCTATCCAGCCTGCGTCATATAGTTCTTCATAGTCAGAGAGTCATCTCCATCTGCCTCTCAGTCTCCACCACAGCTTCTGCAGCATTTGTCCCTGTAACAGTGCATCATCTCATTCATTCATTTGTTCACTTGTTCATTCATTTATTTCCAACATCCAATTTTCAGGGGCTGAGAGAAATAGAAAGATAAATAAAACCTGATATACCCTTAAGAAGTGCACAGATTGGCCAGGCATGGTAACTCACACCTGTACTCCCAGCACTTTAGGAGGCTGAGGCGAGAGGATCACTTGAGCCCAGGAATTCAAGACCAGCCTAGGCAACACAGGGAGACCCCATCTCTACAAAAATTTTAAAAATTAGCTGGGCATAGTGGTGTGTGCCTGTGGTCCCAGCTCCTCAGGAGGCTGAGGTGGGAGGATCGTTTCAGCCTGGGAGGTCAGGACTGCAGTGAGCTGTGATCATGTCACTGCACTGTAGCATGGGCCACAGAGCAAGACCCTGTCTAAAAAAAAAAAAAAAGAAGAGCACAGATTGCAATGGACATGCAAATTGTTGTAATACAGTATGAGAAATCTTGTACGAGAGGGTAGACCAGAGTGTTCTTTAGTGAGAACACAGAAGCAGCAGCCATTTACCATGGCTGAGTTAGAGAAGGCCTCACCCTCCAAAATTCCAGATGCCTGAGGTACCCCACAGGAATCTGAATTTATAATAAACACTGGCTGCTTATGGTTCGATATCACAATTTGAGAATCACAGCCTATAAATGACTGTAAGGTCAATCTGCATATCATTCCTTTTGCTAATCGAATATGCTTTTGAGGGAACATGGTACATTGGATAATACACTTCATGAGAAGTAAGACCAGGTTTCTAGTCCTGTTTCTATCACTTTCTACTCATGTGACTTTGGGCAAGACATTTAACCTCGAAAAATCTCAATTTTCTCACCTATAATAATGGAGATACTATTACCTTGTACATCCCAGCTATCTTAGAGTCACAGATGATTTAAATGACAAAATGTATAACTGTCTTAGCAAAGTAGCAACCAAGAAGTGCTAATAATTTAACTAGTGTCCAGGCAAAGGCAAAATGTTTACAACTGCCACACTTGAGCAAGTAGAATGGCACAAAATCAAATTAAAAGTGTTTGTTGGGTGATGATTCTCAGATTCTCATTCTCACATTTCATACAATAGCAGCAGAATAAAAAGGGCAGTGAATAAAAGAGGGAAGGGACATGACGCTCAGTGGCCTGTGTCTTACAGAAAGGACACAGAGATCACCTTTACACCCATGTGCTCTTCTGCTCTCAGGGGTGGACAACACCACGGCCGATGTGTTCCAGCTCAGTGTGTCTGACTTCTTAGCCTTGGCTTTTTAAATGGGTTCTGAAAAGTGTTTAAGCAGGGAATGGCTCCACCACAATTAAAGGCATTAAATACCCAAGACGAACGGTAATAGCTGAAATCAAGTACCTGCAGCAGCTTTTTCCACATAATGAAGCTCATTATAAAACAGGGACACTTGGTGATATTTTTCTTTCACCACATTGGATATATAGTGCAACAGTGTTTGCTTTCTGTCTGTTGACTTTGTATCTAAGAGCTGAAAACAAAAGGGAACGTGGGTTAGGTACAAGAGTAAAGGGTAACAAGACACTTACCCCTCAGGTGACGATTTCCCACCCAGAGTCATTAACTGAGTAACAGTCGCCCAACAGGCTGGAGCATTCCCAGAGGAGGGTCAGGATTCCATTTGTTCCTTAGTGAACCAGTCCATTGATGCTTAACTGGCTCAAGGACTTTCCAACCAGGGCACATGCTTAACTATAGGGATGACTCTAAGCACCTAAGAATGATTCGCAGCTTTCCTCTACAGTAGTTCCTATTTACCCACAGGTTTACTTCCCATGGTTTCAGGAAACCCACAGGTTTCAGGTATCCAAAAATACTAAGTGGAAAATTCCAGAAATAAACAATTCATCAGATTTGAATTGCGCACCACTCTGAGCAGCATGATAAAACCTCGCACGTGCCATTCCCATCCACCCTAGACCGAGAATCACCCCTTTGTCAAGTGGATCCACGCTGTAATCATTACCTGCCATTAATCACTTAGTAGCCATCTGGGTTATCAGGTTAACTGCCGCCTATTGCAGTGTTTGTGTTCAAGTAACGTGTTTTATTTAACTGCTCTATTTTTTTTTTTTTTTTTTTTTTTGAGATGGAGTCTCGTTCTGTCGCCCAGGGTGGAGTGCAGTGGCACAATCTTGGCTCACTACAAACTCCACCTCCTGCGTTCAAGCGATTCTCCTGCCTCAGCCTCCCGAGTAGCTGGGATTACAGGTGCCTGTGACCCAAAAATTAGCCCAGCTAATTTTCCTATTTTTAGTAGAGACAGGGTTTCGCCATGTTGGCCAGGCTGCTCTCAAACTCCTGACCTCAGGTGATCCTCCCGCCTCAGCCTCCCAAAGTGCTGGGATTACAGGTGTGAGCCACCAGGCCTGGCCTATTTTATTTTTTAGTTATTGTGAATCTCTCACTGTGCCTAATTTATAAATTCAACTTTATAACAGATATGCATCTCTAGAAAAAAAACAGTGTATATATAGGATTCAGTACTATCTGAGGTTTCAGGCATCCACTGGGGGTCTTGGATCACAGCCCCCATGGATAAGGGGGACACTGATTACATGAACTCTCCCAGCCCTGCATCTGCTATCCCACCTTCCTTGCCTTAAAAGCAGGACGGCTCTAATTTTAGTGCTCTTCAAAGTAAAAAGCCAGAGGAGAAATGGGGATGTACAGCCAGCAGGTGCATGCAGGTGCCTCCTACACAGCAGGGCTCCTATGCTCCAGTTTTTACATTTAGCTTAGGCCCTCCCTTATTTCCTAGCCTGTGAAGACCTGAAACAGACATGCTTAACTGATCATGATCTGCTGGAGGCCAGAACTGTGACTGACTAGACACTCCATATTAAATAACTAGCTCCCTGGTCGGGGGACTCAACCCACTGCCCAGCCTTCTCATGTGACAATCACGTTAGGCCTGCACAGTCTGGAGGGAGTCCACGGAGGATTTTCTCTAGTCTTATTCACATTAGTTAGGTGACTCTGAAAATTAGAGCACCCTGCATGCAACAACAACAACAAAAATTTAAGAAAATATAGAAAAGTACTTACAAAAAGCAGTTTGAAAAAATTTCCTGATTCCATCCAACCTCTGCTAATATTTTAACCTATTTCCATTCAGTCTTTCTCCCCACATAGTTTACTTAGCTGAGATTCAACTGTACATGCAAAGCATACCCTGCTTTCTTTTCTAAACACAAATCTTTCTTGGGACACTCTTCATCAGTATGCTAACGGTGGAAGAATAATAGTTCACTGTATTAACTAGTGTTACAGCACATTTAATCATTCCCACAGTTAGACCTTTAGATTGTTAATTTGCAATTATAAATAAAATACAGGATTCAAAATTCAGACACTTGAGAAAAAATTCCTAGAAATGGAAATACTGAGTCAAAGGGTATGAGTAATTATAGGTTCTATGTGCTCTCTGTCAAATGGTGTTCCAGAAAATTAGTACCAGTTGATCCTCCCATAGCAGAAAATATTCATCAAAACATCCTCCACCACCCTAACTTCATCTCTGCCAGCCATCTGTCCTTCAAACAGCTCTCAAATTTCTTTTAGTCCACTCACCAGATCTAAACTCTGAAGTTTAAATCCATAAACTGCTCCTCTTTTACTGCTATTCATGTAGTTTCCAAGGGCTAAGATGATCTGCAAAAGAAGGTGAAAACAGAAGCCCATCAGTACAGCACATCAGGCACTGAACGCAGCTGAAGTAGTCCTTCATACCTACAAGAAAAACTGCACTTGCCTCCAGAATTTTCTTGAGTTTTTGGGACGACTTTATAGAGACAGATGCTGCTATAATCGCATGTAGTTGCTAGATTCCAATCAAAGAAAGAAAAAGGGGAAAAAAGACATGTTAAAAATGGGAAACTAATTGGCAAGTAAATATTAAGACAGAAGAAAACAGGCCTGCATTTAGAGCATACAGGCTTCATGGTGAGAGTCTACTTTTTCTAAGTATAACAAATTTAATTGTCTTGCTAGGTCTCAGGTAATATTGTTACATGCACGATCTTTACTGAAACTGTTCACAATAGCAAGTAACATAGGAACTTGCTTATCACAAAATCTGTAACCAATCTACAACCACTAAGACTCAGAGTTAAGAGTCCACAGCTGCTTCTGGTAGAACTCAATTTCCTGCCTACCACCTCTAATCATGTCATACAATTAATATTTTTAAATCAATGAAGGAGGCATCAAAAATGAAAAAAAAGGGAGGGGAATATAACACCCTCCAGAAGTTCTCAGAACATGTTTTCAACAGACATACTACTATAAGCAGAAACCAACAAATTTATCTAGAAACAGAATTGGGAAAGAACTGACTACTATAATCAGTAACAAAGTCTATTTAGAAACAGAATTGGGAGAGAACTGAAGTTTATGATATTCATAAATCTCCACCAGATTAACACAAGGGAATGAGAGATGGTTGGCTATTATGTCTATATCACCACAGTTTATTATAACAAACTTCCAAGAAAGAAAACTCTTATGGTAAATATAAAGCTTTCAGCAAAAGCTTGTAAGTCTGCTCACTAAAGATGAGGCAACATTTTTAGAAATGAAAGTCTTATTTTCAGTCTTGCCAACACTGCCAGAAGACTAGTATCTTCAGAGAGGAACCAAGTTTGAGAAAAGAACCAAGTTTCTTTGTCCCCTGTCCTTTTGAAATCTAGAGAACATCTGTAGACACAAAAAATGGCATTCTTTCGGAAGAATGGCAATATGGAATATGAACATTCCCCATTTTTCAAATTTACTTTGCATACATAATGTGGAAAAGATGGTTGAAATAAAAATGCAATTTAGAAAGTTCTGGGAAGGAGTCTTTAGAACCCATCACACTGAGTACGATTCTGGGAGAGACTTTAAAAAATAACGATTCCACATTTCTTTGGACCCCCTCCCCTGCCAGAGTCAGTCCACTCACAGGAGTCAGCATCTGAATGCTTTCAGCAAAGTTCCCAATGAAGGCCATGATGGTCATCTTCTGCATGAGCCTCTCGATTTTACTAAACTGCATCATGAACCGATCTTCATCTGACAAGTTTTCCAGAGGCTTCCTTTCCCGCTCGTAGAGCCGAAGCACTTTCACTTCATTCTCAGTTGGTAGGAACCGCATCAAGCATTCCACAAAGTCCACAGGCAGTGTCTTCAAGTCAAATCTAAAGACAGATGTGGAGAGATTAGCATTAGAGAGAAAAACCTCCTACCCCCTTTTCAAGTTCATCCATCTTTTCAGGTTCATCCATCCATCATCCATCTGGTACAGCTCATCAAACACCAAATCAACGAGTCTAAGATTTCTCCAGCTGTCCTGTGAAGTCCCACCCTGGTGCTGGTTCTTGACTATGCCTCAGGTAACTTAACTGGTTCTTCCTGAAAACGTGGACCTTGTCACAACTGCCATCCTCAGTTTTTAGGGTACTGGCATAGCTCTAAGCCTCTGGAATCAGGAGTAAATGAAAATAGGAAGAGGTAGAACCAAGGCCAAAGCATCTGATGGTTTCATGGTTCAAGCACATAGTTGACAGGCATTGTGAAGTACAGCTAATTCAGGAGATTAACACTGTACACATTAGTACAGAATATCTGGTGAATTATGTAAAATATTTCAATTAAACCAATAGTCTGGTAGTATTTTTTCTTCTTTGGAAAAAAATGCATCCAAATGCCTGTATTATTGAATGTTTTAGGTTAAGTGCATACATTCCTTGAAGTTCTTTTTGGATATATGCTTAATTTGAACAAATGAAGTATTTGTTACAGTCTCTATTCTCTATTATTCTCTGGACAATCTTTGTTCAGCTAAATAATAGAATTACATTTAATCATCATGACAAACAAGATATATAAAGATTTAAAGCCAGGCTGCACTTCAGGATTCAATGACAGAAATCAGAACAGACTGTAGGAGGCACTGGACTACCAGATTATGACCCTGGTTGAGGACACAAAATTGGAACAAAGGATTTCTTAGGGTCATTTACACCTCGAAGCCTCTAACCAAAATGTATAAGATAATCAATTTATAAATAATTAGTTCCTAAAACATTTAATAATGTCTTCATCACATTTGAAAGTCACCATGGCCACAAGAAGAATAGAAGGATTCTTCTAATAGAGGAGTAAAACCAATGCCTTCTATGCAGTTCAAGAGTAAAAAATGAACTTTGTTTAAAATGTCCTGAAAGTACTGAAAGCAAAACAATTCACATTCCTGTTGTTACGAATTAAAATATGCATCTGTATCATATTTGCATCTGGCATTGAACTGTATCATTCCACAAATGCCATCAAATTTGTATTCAACAAATCTGGATAAAATCCAGATACTCCAGAGAAAACTGACATTTTCTACCTTTTCTTAACATCTGCCACGCTCAGCTCAACTTTCCTTTTATGTAAGCATTGCTGGAGGCCCGCATAAGAGAGTAGACCCAGATAATAAATGATGTCACAATCCAGATGTTATTCTTCTAAAACAATTAGTTACTGGTTCTAATACAACACTCCCCAGGGTGATTTCTGGTCTACCTCTTTCGTGTTGGCATCATATTCAACTTTGAAGTAGCACACACAGAGTTCAGATCTCTCAAGTGTGGATATCAAAAATTGCTCCAGCTTTTATCTTAGGTCTTGTCTCACTATTGAAATATTTGTCATCTACTAATTCATAACTTTCTCATTTTCATTTTATCATAAACTAACTAGAATATAATTTTCCTGAACTTACACATGAATAGCTTTACATATTTCATCAGCAGTCTTTCCAGCTTTCCTTAAAGTTATGGCAAGATTTTTGGCCCTGTTTGCTTCTAGTAATGTCACTTTGTTTGATCCCTTCTGTGGTATCTTCTGTTTGCTTGAAGAAAGATCAATGGCAGGTCCTTGGGCTTTTGTCTTGAATATTTCCTCAAATTCATCCACATTTAAATCCTAAGATAGAGAGGAATGACCATGGAAAATTGGATTATATTTAAAAATGAAGTCCGGAAGCCACCAGTTAGTTTCTTAAGCAAAAACGTCACTTTTTCTATTAAGTACTTGTCTTTGGCCATGGCTTCCTCTATTTTTCTTGTTTTTGTTATAGTACAACTTCTGGCACATACACAAAAGTGAACATAGGTCGGATGTGGTGGCTTATGCCTGTAATCCCAGCACTTTGGGAGGCCAAGGCGGGTGGATCACTTAAGGTCAGGAGTTTGAGACCAGCCTGGCCAACATGATGAAATGCGCTCTCTACTAAAAACACAAAGAATAGCCAGACATGGTAGTGTGTGCCTGTAATCTCAGCTACTTGGGAGGCTAAGCCAGAGAATTGCTTGAACCTAGGAGGAAGAGGTTGCAGTGAGCCGAGGTTGCGCCACTGCATTCCAGCCTGGGCGACAGAGTGAGACTCCGTCTCAAAAAATAATAATAATAATAATTTAAAAATAAAATAAAATAAAAAAATAAGTGAACATTAGACTACCGATTCTAACCCACTAATTCAATTACTTTTCAATAATTAGCTTGCACAGACAGCTGCCACAGATTAAAATTATCCATCAGATAAGGCAGTGAGTGTGATAATTGAGCTCACTTGCAGTCCAAAAGTTTTTATGTCTTTCTCTCAATTAAGGGAAGGAATTATTATGTCAGATCTATATTCTGTGGCATACACTAAAGATGCTCAAAAGCATTTATTCCAATTTAACATAACTCTTTGAACAGTTTTAGAGCCACCTTACAAAACAGTGTCAAATGTTATTCTCCAATATTACATACATGTTTCTTCTTTACATCAGGGGACTTAAAACACTAGTACTTTATCTCTGACACTTCCAGGTTAACAGAACACCCATGCCGGCTTTGCTGCACAGAGTGCACCTCTAGTTTCTAACCAATGAGAAAAATACCTCCAGAATTCGCTCATCATCAATTTCATTGAAGACTGTGCCATTGATCTGATTGGGCTTCAGAGCAACCCAGTTAAACACTGGCATTCTGAACTTCGTCTTGATTGGCTTCTTAATTTTCACAGCTAAAGACATCAAAGAGAATGGAATTAAGATCCCACCAAAAGCCTACGACCCTCAGGAACAATCAGACAACAGTCCTTGCAGATGACACTTTGACACTGGAGGAAGGTTGGCAAGAGGCGCGCAAGTAGGTTTTTAAAGCTGGAAAACAACACACATGGCCTTGGCCAGAGCCATTTGAGGTCATCATTTGGTTGACTAACACATCATTGTATTAAAAGACGTCTTAAGGGCCAAGGGTTGATTTTTTTTTTTCTTTTAACTCAGGCAACTAATTTGCTGCATTACAGTTACAATATTAGGACAATGGTTGGGACAAATAAAAAGTGTTGGAGAGCAAAGATTATTACTCATGTTACTAGATAGCAGAGAGGGCAAAAACTTGCCATATTTGGACATCCTAAATTCTTGGTTGCAGACCACATGTTTACAAACAAACCTTAGAAGATGATCAGGGACTGCAGACAGTGGCTGACTAGACTACCAGAAGTACAACGTCATGAAGGCTGACTTCCTGTGGGTGATTCCGATAATGAAGATATATTGGCTGCTGGGTTATTTCAAGCAGACTAAGGGATATGAATGGCCTAAATGAGAAAATAGGTTTTGAGGTCTTGCTCTGTCACCCGGGCTGCAGTGCAGTGCCGCAATCATGGCTCGCTGCAGCCTTGACCTCCCAGGCTCGGGCAATCCTCCCACCTCAGCCTCCAAGTAGCTGGAACCACAGCTGTGTGCCACCATGCCTGGCTAATTTTTATATTTATTGTAGAGACAGAGTTTCACATGTTGCCCAGGCTGGTCTCAAACTCCTGAACTCAAGCGAGCTTCCCCACTCGGCCTCCCAGAGTGCTGGGATTACAGGCGTGAGCCATCTTGCCCAGCCTAAGAAAATGTTTAAGACAACAGAGTGAAAAAAGGGGTACATACAGACCAAGACTCTGTCTTAAAAATAAATAAATAAAAGGGGCGGGGGGGAAGGAAAAGAAATTGCTGGGCGTGGTGGCTCAAAGTCCTAGCACTTTGGGAGGCCAAGGCAGGTGGATCACCTGAGGTCAGAAGTTCAAGACCAGCCTGGCCAACATGGTGAAACCCTGTCTCTACTAAAAATACACAAATTAGCCAGTTGTGGTGGTGTGCACCTATAATCCTAGCTACTCGGAAGGCTGAGGCAGGAGAATCGCTTGAACCCGGGAGGCAGAGGTTGCAGTGCACCGAGATCACGCCATAGCACTCTAGCCTGGGTAACAAGAGCGAAACTCCATCTCAAAAAAGAGGAAGGAAGGGAGGAAGGGAGGAAACTCCTCTTTTTTGAGATGGGAAGGAAGGGAAGGGAAGGGAGGGGAGGGGAGGCGAAGGGAATTGAGTGGAGGGGAGGGGAGGGGAGGGGAGGGGAGGGAAGGGAAGGAATTGTATGGATTCTCAGACTCAGAAATAGCCACAGTCCCTTGCCCTTCATTTTGAAAAGCAAGTTCTTCCCAGGAGTCAGCTGTGTTTGACTAGGAGGTATCTACACACTCATTAAAAATACTGAAAACCTCTTAATAGAGAGAATGGGATGTATCTTTAAGGGACTATGGGGAGTGCCAACTCCTCTCACTGTGCGGGAATATGCCAAAAAAGGTAATCCATTTAAAATTATATTTATCTATTATATATCATAAAGAAGTCTTCCCAAACCATTTAGCCATACACATTCAGCTTCGTCAGTCTGTTCTGGGTAGCCTACCACACTACTTGGGAGCTTCACTATTTGTCATTATTAGCAAGACAGGGAGGAGAACTTCAGCGCTTCAGTGCAGAACAAAATAAAAGCAACACACGACTAAGCTTGTAGCTGGCTGCCTGCCTGCCTGCCTCAGTTGGCGTTAACTGAGACAGACAGTGCCTCTCATTCCTCCAGAGTTACAAAGGCCATTTAAACAGCAGGAATGTCATCTGATAAATCCACACAAAAGCATGCAGAAAAACAGACACAGCTTTAGCCAAACCAGGCCTCTCCACCACCAAACATGACACCTTTGTCCCCACTACGCCACAGTGTCAGATTCCTCACCGTACAGCATTTTGTCTACGCTACCCAGGAAAACAGATGTTCTCGATGGGACAAAGGAACAGACTTTCCTCTAGCACTTGCCCTAGCATTGCCTCTGGCACTTCGGCAATGTTAGGGATCTGGGGAGCAGCAGAAGGGCCGCAGAGGAGTCTTTTCATAACCTGAGGTGACAGGTTGGTGCCAATGGCGTCCTACCTTCCTCCCACAGACATGGTAGGCTCATGACGCTCGCTAGAAGTTTGCCATTTGCAACCACCCTTCTAACTATTTAGCAAGGTCAGGAATAAGCCTGAGATCAGAACACAGGCAAGAAAGTTCTCCTCCTTGGAAAGGTTTTCCTGGCTTTAACCAGGGTGGGAGTGGGAAGAGGAGGAAAGCACATAGGTGACCACTGGACACACTGTGTCCCCATGGCTCGGGCTAAAGGCGGGTGAGTGCTCCCTGGAGTGGGCCAGAGACCAGCATGAGGGAGGGAATGGAAAAGGGGCACCTGGCACCTTTTTTTTGTTCTTAGAGTTGAAGTCTCAGATACAAATATAAAAATTAAAAGAAGAAGAAGAAAAAAAAAAAAAAACCTTTTCTCAGAGGAAATGGAAGAGGGCATATGAATCCAGGATGTCTGCTTCAAGGACAATAGTCTCTTATGTAGGTTCAACTAGAATGTGTGGGCAAACCTGGAATCATCATCAGCCACCACCAAGACTTCCCGCAGACACAAAGTCAAAATGCAATGGATCAAAGCAAAATGGAGTGGAAAGATGTCAAGGCACAGTGTGACCAACAGAAACACATGGCAAATACTCAACACACTCAGTGAGGAGCAACCTACAGAAAAGCTTGATTGGCCCATCTTTTGTGGAAGCAGAAAGAACAGAGAAAATACAAAAAAAATTAGATATGGTTAGAGTCAAGTGGCTCAGCAGTTCACGCACTCAGCATAGAATTTCATGCTTCTTGGACACATTTCACAAGGCGGCACAGAGCCAAAAATTCATTTCCATTCAGGCCTGCCTCCAAGACTCAACTATTTCATTTTTAAAATTATCCTTTTTAGAAGAGGGAAGAAAAAAATTATTTCATCGTAGTGGTACCAAACAGCAATACTGAACTGTGCTAGGCATTCCATAGGATAGGAATAATTTTTACATGAAAAACAATCAACCAAAGTCCAAATTCGCATTGTGAGGATCCGAGCACATCCTCCCAGACAGACGGCAAAGGTTCCACCTGCTCAGCAGCCTGTCTCAGGTGACCTACCGGGGGAAAGGGAGCCAGGTTGTTCTATCACAGACTTGAGAGGAAGGAAGCCTTCTTCTTCAAATGCATATTTCACACTACTACTATTTTCTCTATAAAATACAAAGAAAACTCTCAACTAGATAAACTATGGGGCTCTCCTCTTGGTCTTCTGTCTTGGTCTCCAAGAACACACCTGCCCATTGAAGAGATAAGACCCTCGTGTTGCCTGTGGGTCCAGAGGCCAAGTGATGTCATAGGTTTCTGACTTCCCAGGAGGCTTCAGAATATTAGCTCAGCTCTGTCTCTTCATTCTACTGGGCATCCTGATTCTGTCTGGCCTCTTGGTTCCAGAGTGAGAGAGAGAGTTACTCAACACACTAGCAAAACATCTCACCAAATGGGCTTCAATCACTAAGAATTAACAGTCTAAATAAGGATGAATAATAAAGAAAGATTAAAGGCCTTGGAGAAATTGCCTGATCTCGAGCTATCAAAGACTCACAAGGATCTTATAATGCTTCCAAGACATCCCTCACAATCATTTAGTGGACACTTATGGAAATAAAGAGTTCCTGTATTCCCACCTACAGTCCTCTAAATTGCATGAGCCACAACAGGGACCACTTCCAAGTATAGCAAACCCTAAAAGCAGTTGGTTATCAGCCAAGCACAGAGCTCTACACCTTAAAATATTGAGGCAATTGACAGAGCCAACACATTTTTAAAATCAAGTAGTGGGAAGAACCCAAGCAAAACAATTAATAAATAGATCAATCACACAGGACATGGCCCCTTGGAAGGAAGCTCTAGACACATCTCAGCCTCTGGGCTCTCACTCGGCTAAGGCGGTTCTGAGGTCTATGTTAGTGCTCAGGTGCGTGGAAGTGGGTGCTAAATCACACATCAGCGTTTGTCAGAGACAAAGGAAGCAGCCCCAAATGAGATACCACAGCAGACACATCTCACAGCAAGTGCGCCTTGGGGGCTACCAAGAGTGCCTAATCAGGGTGGCCAGGTGCACGGGACGATAATGGGTTTCCACACCCAGTTACTGACAACAGCCTGGTGATGGAACACATTCCCGGGGCTTGATATGAGGTTTCTTGTTTGTCTGTTTATATTCCATAGTCCATCAGTTCCACGATGACTCTGCTCCAACTTTTCTCCTTCAGAAGTAATAAAAGTTCTAGAAGAAAGTGGTAGACGGGGAAGATCTTGAAGGGTAGAAATAAGTCACCGATTTACTGTGGACCTTACTGTGAACTGGAATCTTGTTTCCCTGACAGTTTTATATAGAAGTCGGGGTGGAAGTAAAACCATGGATTTGATGTGGAGTGAATTTATTCTAGGTGACTCTGGGGCATCCAAAAGGGCTCCAGTCATTGGGATGAATGAGCCCCAGTGACCGGCTGGCAGAGCTGCAGATGGGATCCTGGAAGGGATGGAGATTGGGAAATCTTTACAGCTAAGACTGGCTTTTAGACTTTGGGCAAAAGGCTCTGAGAACTATCACAGCCTTGGAAATGGAGGCTATTAGAGTGGTAGTTCTTTATTGTAAATAAGAGACCTCATGAACAGGCTGAAGTAAATGAGGAGGCAGAATTACCCCACGTCACAGGGATGGCAAAGCTTAGAGCAATTCCAGATGCCAGGGAAACACTTCAGGACTGAGAAAACGGCTCGTAGCGTCATCTTTGTTTCCGTGAGTCAAAACAAAGAGCTTAGATTTCAAGGCATTAGAGTGACTCTTCCTCCTGCTCTAACCCCTACCTCCCATTTTATTTCTGGTGAGGTGAGGATGCTGTTTTCTATCTTCTGGTTGGCAAGAGGACATGAATTATTTGGCAGCATTTTAAGGCATGATAATACGGCTGTTGGCAGCACTTCCTCCTTGAAGTTTAAATCCACTCTAGCAAATTCTGATGTTCTCGAATGCTCAGAAGACATGCCTGGAAGCCTACGTCAGGCAATTACACATAAAAGCATGTTTCCCTTTTATAGATGACATCAAAAATACCATTTAAAAAAAAAAAGATCCAGAAGCACTCAATGTCTGTGCCTAATACTGAGCTTTGAATACTACAGGTGTCCAGAAAGTATCTGCTGAACCCACAAAAATGCACTGATCCTCAAGCAGGTAGCTTGTCTCTCTTCCATTCTCTCGGTGGGGCCAGTGGAAGGCAGGAAGATGGTGTAGGAGATCAGAACCTCCCATTGTGGGGTGTGGTTGTGACAAAGACTACTCAGAGCAAAGTGCCTCCCATGCGTGATGATGTTCCCTCTATCGGCTACATCAGCAGGAATTTCTTATACTAGGAAGAGATACACATCATTGCAAGAGACCTGGACTTTGAAAGAATAGCTTCAACTCTCCGAGATAAGACAGCATTTCTGATATGAGTACCTGGGTTTGAATTCTGTGCTCTTACCTGCTAATCCTGAGTTGAAAACCACTGTGGGTGAAGATGTTCCAGGCAGCGGAGGTGCAGAGGGAAGGGGAGGTGCTAAGGGAGGAGCTGGTACAGTCTCAGCTGCAGGGCCTGGGAGAGGAGGAGGCGGAGGGGGCGGTGGGGGAGGAGGAGGTGGAGGAGGGGGCGGCGGCGGCGGTGGCATAGGTGGTGTTACTGGACCATTTTGCACTAGCAAAGAAAAAAGAAACAGATGGACTTTGAAAATACGGGAATGGCTTTCCTGCAATAAGCCATGTGCATATAAAGCCATCTGAAAACAACACACTTAAAAGGACAAAGGACTGTTTTCAAAAACCAAAAAATGTCCTCATTGACATGTGGGAAAAATATTTCAACATATGTGAAATGAGGATTTATAAATTTAATCTCAAAATGTAAACAGTTAAGAACTACTCAAGAAAACCAATTCTTAAAGAACATGCCAACAAAAACGGACAAAGGACAGAAGTGGACAGTTGGCAAAAGAAGAAATACAAATATTCCAAAACTTCCTCAGTCCTCCTGCCAAGGCTTCTTACCTGTTTCAGGTGTGTCTGATGAGGGAGGCAGTGGTGGTGGAGGAGGGGGCAAGGGTCCTGAGGAAGCGGCCCCCATTGTGGGTCCCACAGAGTTACCTGCTACCACTTCTGACCCCATGGACAATGTGCCAGAAGCCACAACTGGCAGTATGGCGATATCCCCATCCCCTTTCTTCTGAATTTTAATGGTCCCTTGTTTCTCTAGCTCATGAATCTTTTTTTCCAGGGTAGACTGTCTTTGAATTGCTTCTTCTTTTTCTTTGACCATTTTTCTTAATGTGTGAACTTGAGTATTTGCATCTTTGTAGATTTCCTGCAATAAAGTCCAAGGTCAAGAGTTTATCTTCACATAACATTCATACTTAGTAGCATCAGATTGGCAAACTGAGGATAAAGAGAAAAAAAGATACTCATATGAATGGGAATTCTTTGGAATTCAGCTAGAACCTATAAAGTCCCATTAATTATTAGTTGTATGCTAGTAATGCATGTAATATATTCTAGCTATTGTTGTTGGTAATGAAGTTCTTTCCATTTAATAAATGCAGCTAACTCAATTTTCCCTGCAGGTGGAAAGAAACAGAGCAGAAATGACCCGGAATGCTGACTCTGGAATCTCCTGAGGGTGTTCTGGTGGTGCATGTTTTCCTTCCTTTTATTTTAACATTCATTTGTAACTCTTAGATACACATATCAGCTAACAATAGACAAAAGGGCCCTAAATCAGACTTGGATACAAATCAGACTGGGATTAAAAATCTGCAAAGCATGGAATAATCTACTCATGAGTAACCAGGGGCTGACTGTTTCTGAATGGCTTTCTCTGGCCCTCACAACGCCCCCTTGACCAAGCTCAGGATAGCGATTGTTGTAACATTTTCCCATCGGTAATGCGGTTAACAAAACAGGCCAAAGCTTCCCTTCACTAATTACTTATTTCTGTCTAGCTTTTTAGCAGAAAACAAAGAAGTTACAATTTTCAATTCAAAGACTGTCCTGGTTCCTTTTATAAGGGGGGGGCCCATAGAGGTTCTAGTGAAAGGGTTTTATGGAACTGAACTTCCTTGCTGGGCCTTGTACAAGCGATCTCTCACCACAAACCTCCAGCAAGCAGGGAAACATTCTTCACACCCTGTCTATTACTAATAATCTAAGAGTCTGAAGTTGAATTGAGTCCATATGCTACAACTCTGTCTCGAAGGCGTGCCAGAAAATATATTTCCTGGACTGAACTGTAGGACATGTCAGGATATCAGACACACACAGACACGATAACCATCACATAAAAGGTGCAATTTCATTAGCAGTGGTGTAAAGGCAAGCCATTTGCCTTAAAGCTCTCCAGGCATTTTGGTGTTCTTATGTTCAGCACAATTCCAAGCACAGGGATGGCACTCCATAAATACCTGGCACATAAGGTAAACAATACTAAGGCCAAATAAAATAGCTGGGATTAGCTGATAATAAAATGGATTGGGTTTGCTTTGCACATCCCCTCCCTTTTTTTGGTGAATGCCATTAAGCCTAGCCTGTGTTGTATTTCACTGTTTACACAGCAACCACCAAATCTGGTTTTGAGTGGAAGCAAAGCAAAAAAATACAAAGAAGCTCAAGTCCTAATAAAAATAAATAAGTGGCATGAATTAAATCCATGCTGTGTTTTTATTTCCAACCAAATGGGTGTTCCACAGAATTAACTCAGCCTCCTCCAGATGGGAAAACACTGTTGCTCCCAAAATCTGTGATAAGGAAATACTGAACCCCCAGTATCTGATTGCACACACATGTGTATACATAACGCCGACTATGTGTAGTTTTCAACTGAGCATCACCTCTCAAAGGTTTCCAATAAATATGCTGCATCAATGCATTCCTCTGAAATGAAGGTACTCTGCGTTCCACTGGACGAAAGCTGGAGTACATTCCCTACCGTGCCCATCTGGGCAGTTGTCATCATTACACTTACCCGAACGACATCCAGCTCCTTGTTCCTCTGCATGAGTTGCTTTTCCAGTTCCACAATCTTGGACATGGCTTCATTCTCTGTGTCTTGCAGTTTTTCAGATAACTGTAAAATTTTGAAAAGAAAGCTGTCACAATACAGGATCATCTTGATCAGCCCTCAGTTCTCAGAAAGTGCAGCTCCAAGATTATTAGGGACCAGGGCCCTGCATGTGTTCCGCAAGTTGTTTTCTGGAAATGGTAATGTTTATAATATGGTTCTGAATACATATTTGCTTCTACCAGGAATTGATAACTTAGACATGATTCTTAATAAGACCCACATGTCTGCTCCTTAGTGTTCAACATACACAGTGTGCCTCCCTCCATTTCTGCAGGGGCTAGCAAGGGTAGAGGAAAGTAAGGAGAAAGAGGAGGGAAAGTCCACCTCCATCCCCCACTCCATGCCAAGAAAGGGCCATCAGCCTAAAGCTTTTGAAAATTGGTAACACAGTAAACTTGGTTCTTTCAATCTAGGTAGCCAGTTGAAAAACAACTACTGCTTGGTTTGACCAAACTATGCAAGTAATAAAAGTTGGTTGCCACGCCTGTAATCCCAGCACTTTGGGAGGCCAAGGTGGGCGGATCACCTGAGGTCAGGAGTTTGAGACCAGCCTGGCCAACATGGTGAAACCCCATCTCTACTAAAAAATACAAAAATTAGCCAGGTGTGGTGGAGTACACCTGTAATCCCAGCTACCAGGGAGGCTGAGGCAGGAGAATCACTTGAACCCAGGAGGCAGAGGTTGCAGTGAACCAAGATCGCGCCACTGCACTCCAGCCTGGGTGACAGAGTAAGACTCTATCTCCAAAAAAAAAAAAAAAAAAAACCCACAAAAATAATAATAATAATAAAAGTTATTTGGGGGAGGCCATTCAAATAGATTGCTGCTACAAAAGTGGACATGTAAGTATGGTCATGCAATGTTGGCTGAGGCTTCAGGAGAAAGACAGGGTGAGCCATGTGTTAAACAGCTGCTTTTCACATAGGGCTCTAACACTGAGCAACTTCTGATTTCTAACATCTCCTTTAAATTCATTACAAGTAAAGAAAACCAGGGAGGCAAGGTAAGGAGGAAGAGTGGAGATTTACACTGATTGGGTTCAGCATATAACACAAATCTTCTAAGGGAAGATATACTGGGCCTGTAAAATTCTCTTTTTAAGCGGATGCCAGCTGGGTCATAGCGGCACTTTTAAAGGGAGGGTTTTTGGCTCACCAACTTGGCTTACCCACAGCCATGAAGAGACCCATTTTCACAGTGATGGGGAAAGGTGAAGGAAACTGAGCATATGCAGCACTCTTTAAAAAACATGTGGAGAAAAATAAATGAACTGTTCAAAGGAGAAAATAATAATCCTCCAAAAGGAGACACTTCATTTCATAATCAAGGAAAGTGCTCACCAGACTCACCAAAAGAATTTGGTCTTCATAATGCTTGGGTTTTTGAGAAGCACCATTTTTCTGTTAATTCTTTTACTACTGAAATATGTGGTTAATGAATGAACAAATAATCTCTAAAGGCCCTTAGAGTCATATTCAAATCAGTCTATGGCAAGAAAAATCCCTCAAAGAAAAATGAGACCCTGTCCTGTGATAGAGCTGACAACGATACTGAGGACATTCTTCAAAGAACAGGATATATGAGAAAGCACACCGATGTCCTTGAAAATGCCTATTGTTGAAATGACTCTATTAAGAATTTGAGTACCGTAAGACAGGAATGTTCAGACATGCATCACAGAGACACCAGCTAATCCTGTCCATGGGTTTGTGTGGACATAGTTGATAAGAAGATACCTCTTCGCCTCAGGCCAAATTCTCATATTTAATTTCCCTCTAATCATTTACGTAATGCCAATCATCAAACACCCCCACTCTGCTTGAGCCTGTAAGCAAGACTGCCAGGAAATGCACCTCAGCAGAAACTGAGCAGGTAAGTGAGCTAAAGCAAAGCAACAGATTCTATTTCATTTTACATAACACATCTGCTTTTTGGAAAAAACACAGAACAGCTTCTGATAGCTCTCTCTTGCAGGGTATGGCCTATTCCTATACTCCAAATCCTTAAATTTACCACCATAAAAGCTGACATTAATTCTGCTTTGCAACCAGCTGAAATGTAAGCAATTTTTCCTTTTCTGAGATATAGTTACATGAGAAATGTTTTCTTCCAGTTCTTCCACCCTCTCCAAGGCAGCATTCTTAGTTTCAGCATCTTCCAGTAGAGCTCCTACATCAAAAACATTGTCCAGGTAAGCCTGGATCTGGACTTGAAGCTTGTCACTCTCAGTGTGTTTCAGCTTCTAAAAACCAGAATAGGAGAGAACGTGGTGTTAGCTCATCTATGGAAATAGAACATCATTTCCTAAGAGTCTGTCTTTTTTGTTTTTTGTTTTGTTTTGTTTTGTTTTGAGATGGAGTTTCACTCTGTCACCCAGGCTGGAGTGGAATGGTATGATTTCAGCTCACTGCAACCTTCACCTCCTGGGTTCAAGCGATTCTCGTGTCTCAGCCTCCCAAGTAGCTGGGATTACAGGCACGCGCCACCACACCCAGCTAATTTTTGTATTTTTAGTAGAGACGGGGTTTCACCCTGTTGGCCAGGATGGTCTCGATCTCCTGACCTCGTGATCCACCCGGCTCAGCCTCCCAAAGTGCTGGGATTACAGGCGTGAGCCACCACACCCAGCCAGTCTATGTGTTTTCTTTTCGACAAATAGTCCAGCCCTTTCCAAGAGAGCTTAACATGTCATCTTCCTTAAGAGAATTATGGAGTGACTGCCTAAGCAGTATCATCAGATGACTTTCGGGTGAATACGCTCTCCCAAATGCACACACATTTTCCCCCAAATCCTTACTGCCCCATGTAGTTATATTCCTATGTAAAACATTTTGATATACATGAAATTGGGACAACAGAAAAATTAAAAGCAGCTTTAACAGGTTATAGTCATGGCCACATAAAACCTGAGGGGTATCTGTGTAGTGGAAAAGACTGGAGTGTTTGGTATCTTACCTGGTTAGTTACAGTGGTTCCAGTAGGGGAAGAAGGTTAGGCGAGAGGTGGGGCAGACACTGACAGAGTTTATACTTAGCCTTGGGGATTATTTTAGCACAAATTGCTAGAGCCCAACCTCCACACATCCCTCCCTAAGTCAGTATACAGCATGAACAGCTCAGGGCTCCCCAAGGCAGATCAGAAAGCTTTCCCCAATTCACTGCCTCCCAAACTAGGCATCCTGCAGGGACTCAGCTAGCTCTGGAAATTAGAGGTCAAATAAATCAGTGAATCTTCCCTACAAGTAACATAAGTCATGACTTTCCCTGGGGAACAGATGAGTGATTAGAATAATACCTGGTGCATGGATGATGCCAATCAACATTTATTGAACAAATCAATGGCTACTTACAAGGCTGGGTTTTTGTAAACTAGTGAAGCATTTATATAGCATACATTTACATTACTCTTCTAACCACCTCTATTAGGTTCCAGAGTCAACACATGATGAAGTTAAAGAAATACAGAGTTTTGACAAAAAATCTTACATTTTTAAGAGAAATTCCACTCTACATAAATTTTCAGAAAAATGGATTTTCCCCTAGGTTTAATCTGGAATTCTACAATACAGCTTATTCTGAAGAGAGAGTGTTCTGTTTTCATTTATGAGTCACAAGTGAGAATGGCTTCTAAATAAGGGCAAAGGCTAGAACAAAAGGAGAAGCAGCTTAATGGGATTTTTCATGAGATTCACAATGAATAACAGGTGTTCAGTGATAAGTGGGTACCTGCCGTTATATTCTACAGCATAAACAAGCTCTGCTCAGACACCACAAAACCAAACCCAAAACACCGCTAGGAATTTATACATCCAATTTTTGTTCAAATACTGATACTTTTAGAGCATAGGAGAAAAAGGGATAGACAAACCTTGATCTCAAAGTAAGAAAGAGTCTTTCTGTACAATATTCTGCCAGTGATATAAATGAGCCTTTAAATAAAAAGGAAAGCAATTCAAACAACATTTTAATGGAAATCTATTACGCCTCTCCCTGAGTAGTCTTTAGACAACAGTAGGCCCATCTATTCAAGGGCAGCCCAGCCAGTCTAGGAAGCAAGGCCTTCAGGTTGAGAGTAACCACCTCTGTGATTCCGTCTCCTAATAAACTGAGGGTACAGTCTGTGCAATCCCTTGGGTTTATCTCTAACAAAGATGGGCAACTGAATTCCTGAGATGCCCAAAGGAAGTACTTCTATATTCTTCACAGCTGGAAACAGGCTTGAAATTCAGGTCACCGGCTGGGTGCATTACTTGAGGCAGGAGTATGAGACTAGCCTAGCCAACATGGTGAAACCCAGTCTCTACTAAAAATACAAAAATTAGCCAGGCATAGTGCCTGTAATCCCAGCTATTCAGGAGGCTGAGGCATGAGAATCGCTTGAACCCAGGAAGCAGAGGTTGCAGTGAGCCAAGATTGCACCACTGCACTCCAGCCTGGTTGACAAAGTGAAACCCTGTCTCAAAAAAAAGGAAGGAAATTGAGGTCAACAATTCTTGCTCTATCACTAGACCATTCCTATACAAAAGGGAAAACAAAACTGCCTGGATCCTCAGGTCCACTTCTTTTCCGTTTTAGACACAGGGTCTCGCTCTGCCACCCAAGCTGGAGTGCAGTGGTGCAATCACAGCTTGTTGCAGCCTAGAAATCCTGGACTCCAATGATCCCCCCACTTCAGCTTCCCAAGCAGCTGGGGCCACGGGCACATACCACCACACCTGGCTAATTTTTTGGTGTTTTGTATAGATGGGGTCTCACTATGTTGCCTAGCCTGGTCTTGAACTCCTAGGCTCAAGTGATCCTCCACCTCAGCCTCCCAAAGTGCTGGAATTACAGGTGTGAGCCATCAGCCTTTTCAAGACCATTTCTGATTTTCACAAGTTTCTGTTTCTTAACTGAAGAACTTCAGGGAACTGGCTAAACTCTTCTGCAAGGGAGTGAGAAAAAGGGAAACTTTAAACCTCCTTCTCCTAAGAACTAAAAGTGGAACTTCTAAAGCCACAAACACTTGAAGCAGAATTTAGCAGCTTCAGGAGGAAGTCTCTGGTGTCCATTTCCTCATTATTTTTTTTTTATGCTCTAAGCACTGACTCATCACTCTACAGTCTTGGCTTGACTTTCTCTGCCCAGATGGGGTCCCCGGAGTAACCAAGAACACAAATTGCCCAATAGCCCAGATGAAGGATGCAATGAGACTTGACCCAGATGAAGCTCAAAAGGAGAGGAAAGCTGCAGCAAGGCTGCAAGAGGTTATCTGACTCCCGTACTAAAAGGCTGCTAGCAGAAGATGACCTGAGATCCCAGGAGCCCTGCAAGAATCCAGCATCTCTGGCAGAGTACATCACTCAGCTCAGTTCCCTTTAACTAGCACTACAGTAGTTGACTGCATAGAGCTTTAGGCATTCTTTAGCTGCTATGGAAGCGTACCTTTGAGGGCAGGCAATAATAAGTCAATTCTTATATTGGAGCCAAAGGTCACAGCTATACTCACGTCCAAGTATTCGTCCAGGCCTAATTTGGTAAATTCATACTGCAGGTGAACTCTGAAATTCATATCTTCTACTGAATGGACTACAATATTAATAAACTGCATAGAAGCCACCTGAAATGAAATTGTCAAGGGGTTAGATGGGCTCCAAACTTTTTTCTCAGTTTAACTGCAGACATGTGCTTTCAATTTCATAAAAAAGGCTCACTTACCGATTTCCTTTTCCTTCATTTCATTGGTTCTTTAAAAATATATATATGGTTTTTTTTGGAAATGGAGTCTTGCTCTGTCGCCCAGACTGGAGTGCAGTGGCATGATCTCGGCTCACTGCAACCTCCGCCTCCTGGGTTCAGGCGATTCTCCTGCCTCGGCCTCCCGAGTAGCTGGGATTACAGGCAGGTGCCACCACGCCCAGCTAATTTTTGTATTTTTAGTAGAGATGGGGTTTCACCATGCTGGCCAGGCTGGTCTCAAACACCTGACCTCGTGATCCGCCGGCCTGGGCCTCCCAAAGTGCTGGGATTACAGGCATGACCCACTGCGCCCGGCCTCTTTAAAAATATTTTATACTTATTTTTAAATTCAAAAGTCACAGAGGTACCACAATAAGACACCACTTCGCACCCACTCAGATGGCTATAATAAAAAAGAAATACAGTAACAAAAGTTGGGAAGGATATGGAGAAATTAAAACCCTCATCCATTGCTGGTGGTAATGTAAAAAAGGGTGGCCACTTTAAAAAGTGTGACTTTTACTCAAAATGATAAACACAGCATTATCATATGACCCAGCGATTCCGCTTCTAGATATACAGTTAAGAGAAATGAAAATATACGTCCACATAAAAATCTTTACACAGATGTTCAGAGTAACATCATTAATAACAACCAAAAAGTAGAAAGAAGCCAATGTCCATTAATCGATAAACAAAATGTGGTATATCCAAACAATGGAATATTATGAAACCATAAAAACCAATAAATTACCAACACATGTTACAACGTGATCTTGAAAACATGTTAAATGATAAAAACCCGTTATAGAAGACCACATGTTGTGTGATTCCATTCATACAAAACATCCTGAACAGGCTAAACTATTGAGATAGAAAGCAGGTTAGTGGTTGCCTAGGGCTGAGGGTGGGATAAATGGGAGGGACTGCCAATGGGTACAGGACTTTTTTCTGGGGGGGTGACGCTGTGTCCTAAATTGTGGTAAGGATTGTACAGCCCTGTGAATAGGCTAAATAGGCACTGGATTATAAATAAATTGGATGAATCTGATGGTATGTTAATTATATCTCAGTGAAAGTCATATAGGTATATAAGATAAACTGTGGAAATTATTATAGTTATGTTGTACAAAATGTGAAAATTATTACAAAGAACATTTTTTAAAGAAGAACATTTAAATCACCTACAATCTCACCAAAAGGTAACCACATCTAAAAATTCCCTGTGAACTCTTCCCTATCAACAGGATAGTAACAGATCCTTGACCCATCTTTCCATATAATCAACGAGTTTGCATTCCCTAAAAGCCTGGGATTTACTGCTTTCTCCCCACAACTTCACCACTGGCCCTGAGACCTGCCAAAGAGAAAACCTGTCCCTGGTTTGGTAAATAAAAGGACAGCATTCAACAGATCTATTTTGCTTTCCACAGTGACTATCAGTCTATTTATGGTGGAAACATCTTACTAATGCTTTCCCTCCATGGCTGTCACCCAGGAGAGTCTCTGGCAAGGAGGGAATATGATTGAGGGATGCAGAGTCACACTTATCCTGAGAACCACCTTATTCCTTGTCTCTCTCCAAACCTAATTTCCTTTATCTTTTAAAAAATTTTTTTATCAAGTTAGATTCTTCTTTGAAGATATGGTATACATTGGATATCTTTGGAAGATGTGTAACCTCTCTAGCTTACAAAAGGACTCTACTGCAACTTACTAAAAAAAAATAAAAAAATAAAAATCATCTCGGGTTCTATCACTAAATGAGCTTTAAAAAATATATCTTTACAAAGGCATGTACAAAATACAAACTAGAAAAATATTTTTTAAAGAAACAAAATGGTTTTTGTTTTCTTTTGTCCACAAAAAAATACAGAAAAAGGGTAGAAATGTCTTATACTACATTAGAAAAATTTATATTATATGTTATGAGGAATATGTTGTTTCAGAGGTTGTGCAACCTAATTGCATTCCCAAGGCAGTTTATCAAAAGCCTCATATTCTGGAGAGAAAACATGGTTAGATTCTGGCATCTTTCCATTTCTCTTCGGAAAACAGGTCTAAATGATCTACTGAGTTTTATGATATGCCTAAGAGGCAACTATCTGAAGGTGACACATGAATCTAGCACATAGAACTTGTGTAATAGCAGCCTCTAAATAAGGTACCTCATTGCATGTATATGTGAATAAACGAACTGACAGAAAATGGAACCTAGTTTGTGTATGGATAGTACAGGTGTTTTAAAGGGCTTTATATAATTGTAATTTCAGCAGAAACTCAAATGGCAAGGAGGTCTGGCAGGTATCATAAATGAGCAGGCTGGGCTGTGTGTCACGCAAAGGGAATGGTGTGGACTGTGACAAACTAGAGAGGACATCTTTGGACTAAAGCAATAGGGGCTGCTTGGCTCCAGCAGCTGACACTCTGCAGGAACAGGGGCCTAGTGTTCTCAAATATTTTCAGTTTCCAAGCAAATCAGATGTGTATTTTTTATGCATCATGTCCAAATTGTTTAAGTAGGGTCATCACTGTCAGACTGAACTCATAAGCCTGTAGGTTGGCTTTAGCATGAAAGCCTACAGTTTGCAACCTCAACTCTAACAGAATGAATAAGTTCCCCTAAAAAGGCACAAGAAAGAAACTCACATCATGAGACAAGGCACCAATCTCTTTACGTATTTATCACCAGGGCCAGCATCAGCCTTAACTTCTTTAAAAAATCCTAATAACAAGATTTTAAAAGTCAGTGTAAAAATGTCCCTTGTTTCATATATGTGTGTGTATATATATAAAGTATATAGACACATATATATACATATATATGTATATATATAAAGTATATATATATAGACACACACACTTTGAAAAGCAAATAACATGCTTTATGCAACAGAAAATCTTCTCTATAAAGGATTTCATCTTTCTCACTGGTTTTGGAAGGGGCTGAGGGCTAAGACGCATATAAAACTTGAGGACTCCAAACTTTTTTTTTTTTTTTTTCTTTTTTTTTTTCACAAAAAGGGTTAGAAATCTGCAAAGCTATGTTTCATGTTTTATAATCACTGAAGCAATTCAAATGAAAAATTCACTTGGCATCCTAAGCATAGGCTCTGCAAGGTAAGGAGTCATTGGTACGTCTGCTTCAGGTTAGAAGTGATCTGGGAAATTACAGCCCGGTTAGGATCTCCTGGGTCTAGAATTTCCCTAGGGCAACTGGATTGGGTCAACGCCTACAGATCTGGGTGCACTCAAGCGTAAAACTTCTGGAGAAATTCACTATGGTAGATTCTATCTTCCTTCCAGATTAAGATTTACGTGTATGAATGCAGAAGTGCTGCAACTCACTTTGATGTTCTTACCCGAGAATGACAGGACTGCTGTGGAACCGCATGTTCTTGTATGTCACCTAACCTGCCAAGGACAGCCCCAATATGATTATACCCTCACAGAATTACCAAAGCAGGAAAGAGATCAGGGAGGAAAAAAAAAATCACTGCTGCATATTCATTTTGGAGATACATACAGTCAACTCTACAAACCAAAGCACTTTAATTTTTAAGAATATAGTCTGGAGAAGGGCACTGGCAGGGGCCTGCAAAAATAAAAAAGGTCAAGATTGCTTCTACCTTAAGGATTCTTATGCAGCATCATCAACAATTAAACAATGGCAGCATTTGCACCAGGCATGGCTGTTTCCAACTGCACGGCTTCCCCTTTATTTGCTATGATTAGTACTTTTGTCTTTACTATACCGTGTATGTAAGGAATAAAATGGAAATCAAAGAGAAATACAGATTAAGAGGGACATTCTAGATTGGATCTATAGCATATTAATTGCAATTCCCTGTCCTTTGTAATATAAATATGTGTGTGTGTGTGTGTGTGTGTGTGTGTGTGTGTGTATTTAGAAAAAAAGTATTGAAACTGAGTTTGCTTTATTGAATACTGAAATAACTCACCATAAAATCTATGTTATTGTCTTCATTCCTGAAATGTTCCATCAACTTCTCAAAGCGCTGTTTTTCTCCACAAACCTGAAACACACATTTTCATTGTGCATGTGACTTTCTAAACATAAACATTCCAAAATTAGATGCAGAAATTTCAGCTTAATAATGATTTCCAGAATATCTATCTTTTTCTCTCTCATAAACTATTTACTTCCCTTCTAAGCTAGTTAACTCACAAACAGCCATATGAGCTGCAACCAAAAGCTGATCTTGGTTTCCTTTCCAGATTCTCTTGATATTTTGAAATCCATATCAAATGTGTTTTTCTTTCATTGGTTGCCTTTGCAGTCTCACGAATTTTTTAGCATACATTTGGAATCCAAGAATGCAGTCATGGTAAAAAAAAAAAAAAAAAACAAAAAAAAAAAACGACCATAGCTTCCTTTTGTAAAAAGGAAAAAAGACATGCAAAAAGATATGAGTATTTAAATTCTTTAAAAGGCACATTTAAAATGTTCATATGTATAACTGAATCAAAAAATCTCAGTGCATAAACTACAATACAGAAATAGACACCGTGGAAGCTATATTAACCCATTTAAGGTGAGTATAGAAATCTGCAGTAATTTGTGAAGTAGCATCCCAGAATCCTGAAACATATGCATTCAGCTAATTAATGTTTTCATTGATCAGATGAAACAAACATAAAATACTGGTAACTCCAGGGCCCAAAGGTATTTGCATATACATGAAATAAAATACATGGAGCTAAAAAAAAAAAAAAAAAAAAAAAGAGTCAAAAAAGATTTCTATCAAATGACTCTCTGGGGACTTTTTTTCTTTCTTTTTTTTAAATTTTAGATTCCAAGCTGGAATGTGGTAGCACAATGATAGCTCACTACAGTCTCAACCTCCTGGGCTCAGGCAATCCTCCTGCCTCAGCTTCCCAAGTAGCTGGGACTACAAGCAGGCACCACCATACCCAGCTCTGAAGACTTATTTTTAAAGTCAAAGGACAAACTTTAATTCTGTCAATGTCCTTGGTTGACTTTTTTGGGGCAAAGTCCTATACCCACTGGTTTATTCATTTCACCTTCAGAAAATATTTCTCCAAACCACTCCTGACTATTTGCTGCATTAGTAAGACACAGTCCCTTGGTTAACATTTTGCTAATTTAATCCAGGTTTCACATGCTAAACTCCAAATTTTCTGATTCCATTTGTGATCTTAGGGATAACTCAGGTCAATCCTCAAAAATTCTTCTAAAATGTTATTTCATAATGCAGCCATTTAATTCAGTCGTGTGAAACTCCAAGTGAATATATATATATTTTGGTGAAGAGAAATTCCCACGAAGGCAGGAATTCTGTTTAGTTCACTACATAGCATCTACATCAATGCTTAGTACATTGTAAGTTCCCAATCGTATTTGTTAAATTGCACTGAATAGAAGATAAATGAGTAATTATGTTAAAATTCACTTCACAAAACGATGAATGACTTCCTGTTCTCCATGATGAAGCATTAAACCATGGTAGACAGGCACCACCGGGGGTAAATCCTTAGTGGTGGCCATCTCTAAACCATACGCTGGGAACGTTAAAGTGAACAGCCTTCAGCCTCTGAGGGCCTCCTAGTCTCAAAGCAGTATTTCCAACAGATTCAGACCACCATTTACTGCATTTTCATGACAACTCTCCGTGAAAATTTATTTATACCTGACTTAACAAAAAATAATTTCAGAATGCAGAGGGACAGTGCATGGAAGGTAGAGTCTAAAGTAAAGTCTTTAAAATTGGCCTAACATGGTGGCTCACACCTGTAATCCCAGGGCTTTGAGAGGCCAAAGCGGGAGGATCGCTTGAGCCCCAGAGTTCAAGACTGGCCTGGGCAAAATAATGAAACCATGTCTGTACTGAAAATAAAAATTAAAAAATCAGACAGGTGCAGTGGCACGCACCTGTAGTCCCAGCTACTCAGGAGACTGAGGTGGGAGGATACTTTGAGTCCATGAGGTCGAGGCTGCAGTGAGCCATGATCATGCCATACACCAGCCTGGGCAACAGAGCAAGACCCTGTCTCAAAAATACACACACACACACGCACACACACACGCACACGCACAGACGCACACACATGACCAGTCCCACACTGGAGAGTCTGATTCAATTGGCCCAGGTGGTGCTGGGGGGACACGGGCATGCACAATTTTAAAAGCACTATGGATCATTTTGATGCTCCACAATGGCTGACAACCAGAGATTTAAGGGGTTACCATGTTCTGCCCCCCTCCTCAGCTGGCCCCCCTAGACAATCTACAGCAAGTTCCTGGAAATGAAAGGTTTGTTGAAGGGGGTGAGGCAGTACAGGCCCAGCTCCCTAGACTATGACATCAGTCACATCTTACGCCCAAAGAGACAAGCATCTCTTGCCTGCAAAAAGGGATCTGTGGGTAAAAAACCCTGAGGTTTTATACGAAAGGTCAGAACTGCAATGTGAATTTTCTTTAGCAGAAACCCCAATACAGGCTGGGCACGGTGGTTCTCGCCTGTAATCCCAGCACTTTGGGAGGACGAGGTGGGCAGATAACATGAGGTCAGGAGTTTGAGACCAGCCTGGCCAACATGGTAAAACCCCGTCTGTACTAAAAATACAAAAATTAGCCAGGAGTGGTGGCATGCACCTGTAATCCCAGCTACTTGGGAGGCTGTGGAAGGAGAATTGCTTGAACCCAGAAGGCAGAGGTTGCAGTGAGCCGAGATCATACCACTGCATTCCAGCCTGGGCGACAAAGTGAGACTCTGTCTCAAAAAAAAAACAGTGTACTTTGGTCTTGTTGTGGGTGATTGGTAGTGGCAGTAACAGAAGAGGAAAAGAGGCCATCCTGAATTCGGGGAGAGCTACCAGCTCTCCTGAGAAGCAGACCGTGATTCATGTTTGGTTGAGGGGCTAGGCACACGCTAAACTAAATGAGGCAACAGCTGTTCGTGAACAGTGACAACAAAAGCAATTCCTAGGGAGGCAAAGCTCTTCGAAGAATGTTAGAAAGCTGAAAAATGCCTTTTGCATAATCTGATGCTCTCAATTTATGAATTAGACCTACACAGAGATTAGACTTCTCTAACCTGATGAAAGGTTGAGAGAGTGGCAGAACCAAGGCTAGAACCAGGTCCCCGATGGCCAGCCTGAGGTTCCTTCTCCCACATAGCCCAGAATGCCCATATAAACATATTCCATTAAAGAAGGTAGTTAAGGCATTCCAGCAGTATCTGAGACACACAGAGATGAAAAACATTATCACTAAAAGACATAGTCATTATACCATGCATACTTTGACATCCCTGCACCAGAAACTTCCATGGAACCTCGAAAAATGATAGATTCCTAGAGTCTATATTGAGACATACTGAATAAGAATCTCCCCAGATGGGCCTAGAAATCTGTGAATACTTGTGGTTGTTGGACCAGCATCTGGGAACCAATGGCTCATATGATATCACACTGGCTGATTAAACCCTCAGTCTTTCTGATTACCAATTATAAACTGATTAACTAGATCATTAAATCTCCAGCTCATTCAACTTCTAACTGAGCAACACAAACACAGTTACTATAATTGGATATCATAGGAATGCCGCAGGAATGGACCCACTGCCCCTGCATAAGTGCAATGAATAATAAGGTAACCCAAAAATAATCAAGGGGTGCATGTTGGGTCTTAGAAAAAAAAGGTTTTGAATGGCTGGAAAAGCACATGTGGACGGCAACAAACTACTCATAGCCTGTTACTTTAAAAGATGGCATCAAATATAGAACAAGCAACACTAGATTTCATGGTGGATAAGGATCCCAAAAAACACATCACTAGCCTGGCAGATAGACCTGAAGTAGATGTTAAGAAGAGCCTTGAATATATGTGTTTCTTTAGAGAGCCCTCATTCTGTCAACAGACAAATCCCTACTGAGAACATGTGCGTTACAAAACAGAGAAATACCTCTAATCTTAAAAAAAAAAAAAAAAACAGACTTAAATATCTTCTTATTTACAGCTGCTATGAACTTGGCGAAAATAACCCAAATGCACAAAATGACATTATGAATACAAATGCCGGCTTTGGGAAACCTTGAAAGCAACAGAGTGACCACTCTCCATGGTAAGGACTAGAAGGACCCCTACTACCACAGCTCCACCAGACCCAAGGCTGCTTTGCTGCCAATCTCAACTAATGAACTCAGGGTTGTGTTTCCTGACACATTCCACAGGCACAGCAAGGATTCCAGAGCCCCACTTTGTTTCTGAGGAAGGAAAGGAAGCATGCAGGCCAGATTCACATTTGTTTCTCCATTACTTTAGCAATCATTAAACAAGTGTACACTACAATCCCACAGGAAACAGGAAGATATGTTTGGGGAAGGTTGGTAAAAGTTGTGTCCCACATCAAAGGAAAGTTGTCTTCGTTCATACTGCTCACATCTGGAGCACCCCCACGCACTGGGTGAAACAGGACCATCATGGTGGAACATGCTCTCTCCTTTGCGGTGGCCTCTTTAGAAAATCGGTGAGGATGAAAGGAACGAGACACTAATTTTCAGTTATTTTCAGAATCCATGCATTGGCCTGCATGGGAATGAACTCGAGCGCTTCATCAAAACGTTTCTAAGAGCCAGGAGCATATTTGCACGTGTACATCATTACACATTCTATATTGATGGGCATCACTTCCATCTGCCCACAAAGGCCAGATAATACACGGTGCAAAAACTTTTTAATAAAAAAGCTATATTCTTGCAGCTGAAACGTGTCATTCTTGACTTTTATATTCACTGGTATATCTCGTTCTCCCACCAGCTTTGATACCAGTTTCCAAATCAATAACATGTACTCTATTAAGTGGGGTGGGGAGAAAGTTTAAGAGCTACAGAAAAACTGAGCCGAGCAGAGCGGCAAGGAGCCCTTCTGTGCACTGGACTGCCCTATCAGGAATTAGACTACTACTGCTAGCAGCTGGGGCTACCAGCAATTAAGTAAACCAGCAGACAAATAAAAGTATATGCCCTGGAAAAGTATGTACCCTACTGAAAACCAAGAGGCATCTTCATTATAAATCATCTATAAACCGGCTGCAAGTGAATAAATTCACGATCCCAGTTAATGTAAAAATGATCAGGCTCCAATCCTGGACCAGAGACTTCAGTCTGCTAACACAGCCACCTATCTGCCCATCCCTGTGGGGTCCTGCCTAATACAACTGCCTCTCTTTGCACCTTCAAGCTCTAAGACTGATGGGGGTAAAGGGCTATAAGGGTAGAAATGGGACTATGTGGCACATTAGACAAGACTGTAAAACCTGGGTTATAAGTCACAGTTCAGCCACTACCCTGTTGTTAGCTTGGACCATTCAGCAAACAACCCTGGACTTCAGTTTTCACATCTATCAAGTTGAGAGCCTTAGGCCAGGTGCAGTGGCTCACACCTGTACTCCCAGCACTTTGGGAGGCCGAGACAGGTGGATCACCTGAGGTCAGGAGTTTGAGACCAGCCTGGCCAACAGGGTGAAACCCCGTTTCTACTAGAAATACAAAAATTAATTGGGCATGGTGGCGGGCGCCTGTAATCCCACGTATTAGGAAGGCTGAGGCAGGAGAATCACTTGAACCTGGGAGGTGAAGGTTCCAGTGAGCCAAGGTCACACCATTGCACTCTAGCCTGGGTGACAGAGTGAGACTCTGTCTCAAAAAAAAAAAAAAAAGAAAGAAAAGAAAAGAAAAGAGAGCCTTAGATAATACTACTGGTTTGCAAGCCATACTTTAAGAAAGCAATCGGCCGGCGCGGTGGCTCATGCCTGTAATCCCAGCACTTTGGGAGGCCAAGGTGGGCGGATTGCCTGAGGTCAGGAGTTCGAGACTAGCCTGGCCAAGGTAGTGAAAACCAGTCTCTACTAAAAATGCAAAAATTAGCTGGGCGTCGTGGCAGGCGCCTGTAATCCCAGCTATTCAGGAGGCTGAGGTAGGAGAATTGCTTGAACCTGGGGGATGGAGGTTGCAGTTAGCCGAGATCGTGCCACTGCACTCCAGCCTGGGTGACAGAGCGAGACTCCATCTCAAAAAAAAAAAAAAAGAAAAAAGAAAAGAAAAGAAAGAAAGCCATCAGGGTTACAGAGGAAATAAAGGAGAAGAAACTATATGGGTTACAGAGCTTTGGGAGTAAGGGGGAATTCCAAGTCAGGGGCTTGGCCGAGAAAGGGAAAGCCTAAGTAAGGTTCTTGAGAATTCTACCCTCACTATCCAGATCTTCTTTCTTATACTTACTTAGTTGTCTGATAAGATTGCTTTTGAGGGGAAAAAAAGGTTTCATTGCAAATAAAAAATTTGAAAAAAATTCTCTCCCTCAGTATTCTTGAACGTCTAAAATTCTCATCTAGCATGGCAATAGAACATGATATGGCCAAGCTGACTGGCATGGAAGCTCCACAGAAACAAATTCAGAGGAATGCACTTGGCTGTGCTGGCCCTGAATACCAAACATAAAGGTCAAACCACTCTCTTGCCCCATCTGGTTCACTCCTGATTGTGAAGCTATGAAATCCCATACCCTGCACAGATAACGTGGGCCACTCCCAGGACAAGCAAGATTCATTTTCATGTAAAGGAGAATTGAAGCAAAAGCAAAACTTCTGCCAAAAAAAAAAAGCTCCAACTATGCTCTCCAACATCTGTGAAAGACATTTGTGAACAGTGTCCCAAACCATTTGGATCAATCTGGGACCCTGGAGGCAAAGGTGGCTATAGTTTAAAGCATCTCAAAGGGTGGGCGGCGGTTAGGGGATGCTTTCCCTAAAGGCTAATAGTGGAGAGGAGATGGTTTTACAAAAACCTTGGGTATTATCTTGCCAGCCAGATGTTGAAGTGAACACACTCCCAGACTTCAGCCACCTCTCTGTCCCTCTTCAAGGTGAGTAACAGTCTCTGGCTTTCCCCAGCAACAGCTCCCAGGGAACCATGCAAAGTCTGTAGCCAAATTGAGGCCTGACTCTTATGAGATGGCTATAAAATATGCTTCTGGGTTAGTTATATAAAAATTAAAGGCCCTTTGCTTAAGTGTTTCCTTCTTGCCTTGTTGCCTGGCGCCTGCCTCAATACTTTCTTTTTCTCCTCTTACAATAGGCCCCTGTGATCTGCAAGGCTCCCTGCAGGAAGGCACCGTTTTAGAGGCACACTCTATTATGACTGATTAGACGACCCTTCTCGGGGCCTGCCTGAGAACAAAAGTTCTGTTTTCTTTTCAGGGCCTTGTGAAGTAAACAGTTATTTCATAGTTAGTCCTAGGTGAAAACCATCTTTTACCATCTACTGAGTGCACCAGCAGTCTGAGGGCTATATGAGGGCCATAATGGCCTGACAAAACCACTTTTCTGGGGTGTTCTGTGGCTGTCAATGGTCTGTTATTGTTGTCTCTTGAAGTGATTGGACATTTCATACACATACACCATGCAGCAGCCATGACAGAAGCAGATCACTCCAACCTGCTGCTGGCTCTCATGTCTCCTTGGGATTTAACTGTGAATATGTTCATCCAGCTGAAATGCTCTGAAACTGAACAACCTTATCTCACTCCGCTAAAACAAAAACTAATGAAAGCTAAGCAACTAAATGTATTCTATAACCTAGTCAACTCTCCTCCTTCATAAATACAACATTTGTATCAATCCTGGACCAGGAGATGACTATGAGCCTGAGGTTTCATTCGCATAATGCTAAACACCCTTGTGAAAACTTCAGTAACTTTTCCAGGTGTTTCCAGATATCCAGATGTTTGGCAGGAGGCACACAGAGCAGCCAGATGACTGTCTTACTTTCCACACCCATATTTTGCTGTACTGAATAAAGAACCCAAAGACAGAAGCAAAAGGATCGTAAAATCCCCAAAGGACGACTCATTGACGCATCACCCCTTCAATGAGAAATGTCTTTTTACTACCTCTCTAAAAAAAAAAAAAAAAAAAAAAAAAAAAAAAAGATGACCTTCAATAAATTCTAGAGAGTAAAACTCCTCCTTACAATAGGTCATAAATGATCTCTTTCCGAAATATGCTTCAAGTCCAGCCTGAACCTCTCTAGCTTCAATGCAAGACTCACATCTCCTGGTCATTAGGAAGGACACATAGAGTCTTTCAAGGCTACTTGTAATGGTTAACTTTATGCGTCAACTTGAGACGGTGAAGTGATGTCCAAGAGCTGGTGAAATATTTCTGGGTGTGTCTGTGACAGTGAGTAAAGAAGACGTCCCTCTCCAATGTGGCTGGGCGTCTCCAATCCACTGAGGGCCCAAACAGAACAAAAAGAATTTGGAGGAAGGGTGAATTCTCTCTCATCTTGAGCTGGGACATCCATCTTCTTCCCCTGCCCTTGGACAATGGAGCTCTTGGTTCTCAGGCCTTCAGACTCCATAACTTACACCACTTGCTCTTACTTCTCAGGCCTTCAGACTTGAGCTGAATGACACCCTAGCTTTTCTGGATTTCCAGCTTACAGATGCGTAGCATGGAACTTCTCTACCTCCATAACCACGTGAGCAATTCCCATAATGTTTCCTCTTATATCTTCAGATATATCTATAGATGTCCTGTTGTCTCTGTTTCTCTGGAGAGCCCTAATACACCCCCATTTCTACTAGAAAGCCAAAATACCTTCCATTTCTTCAATAAAGAATGATATTTACTGACTGACTGATTGAGACAGAGTCTCGCTCTGTCACCCAGGCTGGAGTGCAGTGGCGCAATCTTGGCTCATTGCAATCTCTACCTCCCGGGTTTCAAGCAATTCTCCTGCCTCAGCCTCCTGAGTAGCTGGGATTAAAGGCACATGCCACCAGGCCTGGGTAATTTTTGTATTTTTAGTAGAAACGGGGTTTCGCCATGTTGGCCAGGCTGGTCTTGAACTCCTGGCCTCAAGTGATCCACCCACCGCAGCCTCCCAAAGTGCTGGGATTACAGGCATGAGCCACCGCACCCAGCCTGAGAATGGTATTTAAATAGCCACCTGAGGATTACATGACAAAGGCCTTCAGTCCTCTCTGGGATGACTTACCAGTCAGACCCCTCAAAGTTGAAGGAGCCTAACACTGTTCTTTATTTTCAATCATTTCTCTTCACAGCTTCATCCTTTGAGCATATCCAATTAGGTCAAGCTGAGCAAGGGAAGGGACACAATGACATCTCTAGGGGTTATCGCATGTTCTCTAAACCACAGCAAGAGCACGTGGCTAGAGCTGTCTAAAGCCTGCAGCAATTTCAGATCTTGGGGCCTGCGCAAGAGGCAGCTATCAGCCCATGCTCTCCTCACACCTAAATCACTACAAATCTAATCAGTGCATGGTGTGCCATGAATGCAGAGACCTTGAAGACAGGGACTCTTGGATAGACCAAATATCTCAGGCCAACAACAGGCAAATGCCTGCAGTTTGTCTACAGCTCGCTTCTCTCATTTCCCAACCCTTCTACTTTCATCTTTGCTTTTCCCCAAGTTCACCCTAACACCCACAGTCACCTCTGGGTCTTAAGCAGAAGGATTTTGCGCTTAGCCAATTGGAACCACTTCCACCCAGCCCAAGATGACAGCAGAGAATGGATTTGGGTACCAGTTCTTAAAGTGTGGTCCTTGAACACCAAGGGTACTTTAGGCCCTTTTATGAGGTTTGTGAGGGCAGCATTATTTGTATAATACTACTAAGATGTTACTTAATACTTTCACAGAGTTGGCAGTTGGCACTGGTGGCACAAAAGGAACAATGAGTGAATACTGCCAGTGCCATAGCATGCATCAAGGCAGTGCACCAAATTATACCAGTAATCCCTGTATTCACCACAGCCACGCATTCTCAGTTTTAAAAAGCCAGTTTCACTTAAGAATATCATTGATGAAGCAGTAAAAGGTATTAATTTTATACATCTCAACCCCTAGATACACATCTTTATGATACTCTAGATGATGAAATGGGGAGTCTGCATAAAGCATTTCTGCCGCATATTGAAGTATGGTTGTCTTGAGGAAAAAGCATTTCTGTGATTATTTCAGTTGCAAGATGAACTAGCCACTCTTTGTTCTTACTTGAAAGCATGACTGACAAATTCAGACTTATGCACTTGGCAGGTATTTTCTTGAAAATGAACAAAGTGCACCTTTTAATTTAAAGATAACAGCTGACAATATTTGTTATCAATGATAAAAATTAAGCAAACACATGAAAACTGTACCCACCACGAGGAGTCTGACTGCTTCCCAGTATTTAAAGAATTTTCTAATGAGATTGGAGGTAAAAATAATGCATGTGATTTGTTAAAATAGTATATTAGGAAATGTGCCAATTATTAGAAGATCTAGATAACTCAGTGTACCATTATTTTCCCAATGATCACTGAATGTTGTTACAAATTTATAAATTCATTCAAGGTGCAATATAGGCAAATAGATTTTAATGCAACAGTATGGAAAAAGTTCATCGATACGATTTCGGATTCTACTTTGTGACTAACCTTTAAGAAATTACTACTTGTCTAGTGTTTGTATAGTATCAAAGAAGAATGCCCACTATTATCTGAAAATGCTGTTGACATAATTCTATTTCATCTACATATCTGTGTGAGGCTAAATTTTCTTCATCTACTTCAACAAAAACAACAGCAGAAGTGACTAAACGCAGAAGCAGATCTAAGAATGCAGCTATCTTCTACGAGTCAATCTCCCTAAGTGCTGAGATTACAAACGTGAGCCACCATGCCTGGCCTGAAATTTTGTTGTAATTTCTAATATGGAAAATATCAACATATAACTTGCATAAACAAAAGCTCTTTAGGGACCTCAGTGATTTTTAAGAGCATAAAAAGGGCTCCAGGGGCCAAAAGTTGGAAACTACTGGATTACAGAATAGCCTCTATTTCTACAAAGATGATGGATTCTTAAACCTAAAATCTAAAGAAGCAAATAAATGGATAACTAATAGTAAAATTCCTTGCAAGATTGTTTGGGAATCAACCATACCATACAAAGAACTACTAAATGTACCATCTCTGCATAAAAATGAAGCCACATCACACAGAGACCAATAGTGTCTTCATATAGAAAGGAGCCCTCCACCATTTTCCAAGGTAGAAAAAAAAGACAGCCGGGCTCAGTGGCTCATGCCTGTAATTTCAGCACTGCGGGAGGCCGAGGTGGGCGGATCACTTGAGGTCAGGAGTTCAAGACCAGCCTGGCCAATATGGCAAAACCCCATCTCTACTAAAAAAAAAAAAATCACCCAGGCGTTGTGGCACATGCCTATAATCCCAGCCGTTCTGGAGGCAGAGGCGGGAGAATCGCTTAAACCTGAGAGGAGGAGGTTGCAGTGAGCCGAGATGGTGCCACTGCACTCCAGATTGGGCAGCAGAGTGAGACTTGGTCTAAAAAAAAAAAAAAAAAAAGACTTCCTTGCAATTCTTCTGTTTAATAAGGCCAGGTACAATCCCTGGTACTTATCAGGTTGGATGGAAACAGCCCCTAACTGTTCTCTGATTATCTCTGGGATGTACCCACTCTGTCACATTAGACTCATTATAAGGCTAGAAGATGTTCTTTTCCCAAAGCCAGGTGAATGTTAGATTTCAAGCAAGAATATGGGAAAGGGACAGAAAGAGATCTCCTCCGCATGGGAAAAAAAATATATAGAACACACATTCCTCAAAGTTCAGAAATTCATACTGAATGAATCCACCCAAGTAAACAAATTTGTCTGGGACGCCTGACACCATAATATCAAACAATCATGGGCCGGGCATGGTGGCTCATGCCTGTAATCTTAGCACTTTGGGAGGCCAAGGCAGGCAGATCACTTGAGGTCAGGAGTTCGAGACCAGCCTGGCCAACATGGCAAAACCCCGTCTCTACTAAAAATACAAAAATTAGCTGGGCGTGGTGGCGTGTCTGTAGTCCCAACTACTCAGGAGCCTGAGGCATGAGAACTGCCTGAACTCGGGAGGTGGAGGTTGCAGTGAGCCGAGATTGCGCCACTGCACTCCAGCCTAGGTGACAAGAGCAAGACTCTGCCTCAAAAGCAACAACAATCAAATCAATCAATCAATCATGAACAAATACACAAGGAACAAAAAGATCATTATCTTTTACCAATGTGCTAAACATGTTCTTGACACGTTCCACATAGAAAGCACCATTTACTAATTTTACATCTATTCCTGGAAAATAGTTGAAAATGAAATGAAAAATTCAGTGTTGTTCTTGGTGGTGAACCAGTAAATCTGGGATATCACATGTGTTGCTAGTACAGTTATTGGCAGGGAAGGAGCCCTTATTTTCCACTGCCAAAACCAAACTGCCAAAACAACACAGAGCCTAAAGCTCATGTTACCATGACTGGCCATTTCCACTCCCCTGTGACGCAGAGTTTGCGGGGAACATCTTGTCAGAGAGCTCAACTGCAAGATGAAGGGTGACTGACAGTGACTGTTGGACCATAAGTAGGAACCACTGGGCTATTTTCTTCTAGTGAGTGTGTTTCAGTCAATTGTGAATGAAAACCGAGTCTGACTATATATTCTTGGCAGACTGATACATAGAATTAAAGAGCTGGGCAGTAGCCACATATACCACTGTGTTGAAAGGAATAAAGAATGGCTGTTGAGCTGCAGTGGGCAGAACAGTTTGGGGTAGGACAGGGGAGCTGGGAAACTAAAAGCTTAAATCAAGACTCAAAAGCTCCATCTTTCAAAAGCTACACAAGCCAGGGATGCTTCTTCCACAGACAAGTCCTCAACAGTACCTCGTGCGGTGGTACTAACAGCATGGCCAGCACAGCCAGCTCACTCTCAGTCTAGGGAAACAGCGACGTCCTTAGACACATGGCAGATTTTTGAAATGAAACTTGAGCCAAGGGATTGACGCAGCCACCTTCCAAGTAGTCATAAAAGGGAACTTAGGCCGGAAGTCACAATACTGTCTGCAGTCATAGTGATCTCTTTTAGGATTGTTGCTCTCCTGCCAACTGGCCTCAAACATGTCAGTTTTTGTTCTTGTTTGAAAAATGAAAGCACCTATCATTTTATTATCTAGGTACCTTGTTTTCATATCTGCAGTCAAAGAAGCACTTAATCTTTCTTAGAGGGAACTATTTGAATAGGTACACACAATACATGTTACATACATAGGCATGTGTACACAAAGTTTTATATAGAATCATAAAATTGTAGACTTGGAAGATATATAAAAACCACTTGACTAACTTCTCACCTAAAGCAAAAACTTACATCACAATATACCAGACCCACCAGGAATCCTCTCATCCTCTTGACCACCTTCCCCTTTGTACTGTGCTGGTCTCTTCTGAGCATCCTTCTAGCCCATTCTAACCTTGTCTCTTCACTCTTTTCCTTCTGGACTGGGGTCCCTGTGGGGGAGTTTTCCTCCTTAGTTACTTAGTTACAATCCCCATTTGGCTCTCTCTCGCTCTCTCTCTCTCTCTCTCTCTCTCACACACACACACACACACACACACACACACACACACACACACTCTCTCTCTCTCTCTCTCTCTCCCTAGTCACCTCTGTTTAAACTTGTTCTCTCATTCATTACCTTCATTGCACAGCTAAGAATCTGACCTCGGGCATTACACCCCCACTAAAAAAATAAATTAAAAAAAAAGTTTTATTTTCTTTGCCTGAAAAAAGAAATCCCCAGATTGTATTTGTTGACTATAGTTGGGCTACTTTCCTCTTCATTAAGTGTATATTATTTGAACAGATTCTTATTCTCCTCGTGTCCATTCTCATATTCGGTGGATCACCCTATCTCTTATTGCCTTTTCTTTCATTTTTTGGCTTCATATTCATTGCCATGGCCACAAACTGGGTCCAAGGCTGAGTCATTTGACAACTGAACCACCTGTCTTCCAGACTCCAGCATCTCTCCCCTCTACTGTATTTTCTGCAGAGCTACACAATACTCCTAAAGTTTTATCCAAATTACATAAAAGGCTTTTTGCAGATTTCCACAGAATCAAATGCAATATATATATATAGCATTTTCTAAACTGTAAAGTATTATGTAACTGTGAATTTCTTCCCTTTCTCTTTTTTCCCTTCTATTTGTATCTATCTTCTAGTTGAGGTGTTTGTTTGTTTGTTTGTTTGTTTTAATCACAGGTTTCCAGTCTCTCCACCACTGTTTCCTCAGAACCTCATTCATGCCTGCCTCTTGCCATGTTTTGTTCTGTAACATGGACCCTGGTCAGATATTTTTCCTGGTTAAAGAACAAATATATTCTGACTTATGCTGCCTTTGAGACAGATTTCATGCCAATCTCTCTGCTCCCAGAATTCTCTCCATCAAATCAGGTCTCTTCCCTTCCTGATCACCCTGCTCAGGACCTACCCACTTCTCCCACTGGGCCCTGTACAAACAGTATGGTCTGTTCTGAATTTTACCAGTAATTTTAAACACCCCAATAATCTATCCAATCTCTAACCATTCCCATTAGGTTTGCTTTTCGGTGGAAAATTGAGGACAATATACGAACATGTGTGGAAAGTGCCTGGAATGTGAGACATGTTATGTAAGGCTGTATATGAACTCTGAGTTAAATGGATCTGTGTAAAAATCCCAGAGTTGCCATTTACTAGAGACGTCAGTAGGCCCATTTGCTCTGAGCTCTCCCTCTATGTTCCTACCTCAGATGGTGCATCTAAGAATTAACAAAATAATATATACTAGTCTGCCAGCACTAAGGAAACAATAAACAAACAAATTTTTTATTAAATAGAAAATTAACTAATAGTAGCCTTACTATTTCTGCATATGTATATGCCTTTTTATGTACATGACATAAATACACTAATGTTGACAATAAAGAAGAAAATGGAATTGATTCTGAACTCTGCTCATGCTTTCTTTCTGAAGAGAATTGCTGGTTTAAAAGAAACCAACAAACAAAGCCCTTATTGACGAGAGACCCCCACATCAATAAAAAATGTGCTTATGTTTTACAAGAGTTTAAATTTCAAATGAAATTTGAACTTGACTCACATAGAGAGTCAAGCTCAATACACACATTCATTGTCAATAACACCTAACATTTTGGTTTAAATTACAATTAGGTATAAAAATATAAATACATGCACAATTCTTAAAGTTTTAAATTACTGTCCTCCTAGTGTTGACCTTAGTGTATATTTGGTCCTCAACTAAATACCTATTAAAGTCAGTCCTACCTTTCTCAAGGCAATACAAACTTCTGTGGCACGGAAATCATGAGTTATCTTTTCTTTTTTTTTGAGACGAAGTCTCGCTCTGCCACCAGGCTGGAGTGCAGTGGCGCGATCTAGGCTCACTGCAACCTCTGCCTCCCGGGTTCAAGCGATTCTCCTGCCTCAGCCTCCTGAGTAGCTGGGACTACAGGCACGTGCCACCACACCCGGCTTATTTTTTGTATTTTTAGTAGAGAAGGGGTTTCACCACGTTGGCCAAGATGGTCTCTAACTCCAGACCTTGTGATCACCTGCCTCAGCCTCCCAAAGTTTTGGGATTACAGGCGTTAGCCACCGCACCTGGCTGCCTTATCTTTTCTTTAGAGACAGGTTCTCGCTGTGTCGCCCAGGCTGGAGTGCAGCGGTGTGATCACGGCTCACCGCAGTCTTGACCCCCTAGACCCAAGCAATCCTCTGGCTTCAGCCTCCTGAGTACCGGGGACCACAAGCGTGCACCAACATGCCTGGCTAATTTTTGTATTTTCTGTAGAGGCAGGGTCTTACCATGTTGCTCATGCTAATTGTGAACTCCCAGGCTATAGCAGTCCTTCCACCTTGGTGTCCCAGGGCGCTGGGATTACCGGCATGAGCCGTTGCGCCTGGCCTGAAACCTTTTATTTTCTAACAAACTCCCCTAACCCTGTAACGGGGTCACTGTAAAAAGTATATTTGCTCAACAGTCTGCTGGCAATTCCAAACAGTTCTGATTCTGTTTCACAGTTTTGAAGAAAAGGTGGTAGTCTGGAGAGATGTTACACAAAAGATAACTGAGCATCTTTAGAAAAGACAAATCTAGCCATATAAAATATTACCAGAGGGAGGCCGGGCGCAGTGGCTCACGCCTGTAATCCTAGCACTTTGGGAAGCCAAGGTGGGCGGATCACGAAGTCAGGAGTTCGAGACCAGTCTGGCCAATATGGTGAAACCCCATCTCTACTAAAAATACAAAAAAATTAGCCAGGCGTGGTGGCACTCGCCTGTAGTCCCAGCTACTCGGGAGCTGAGGCAGGAGAATCGCTTGAACCCGGGAGACGGAGGTTGCAGTGAGCTGAGATCGCGCCACTGCACCCCAGCCTGGGTGGTGACAGAGTGAGATGCTGTCTCAAAAAAAAAAAAAAAAAAAAAAAAAAAAAAAAAAAAAAAAAAAAGTTATCAGAGGGAAAATCTAACTCTGCACAAGAGGGATAGTCTAGCCACGTGAGGGATTATTACTTACCAAACAGTCCAAGCAACAGAAATAAACACACACAAAGGAGTTGTCCCAGTGCCACTCCAAATCCTCTCATTTGCTTCCTTTTAGGGCTTATTACTGTGCACACATATATCTTTACACTTACTCCTATTATACACACACATATATTTAATGTACAAATATACAGACAAACATGCATACACACTGATACACATATATATTATTTATATATGATTTATCTTATCCTTCTTCCTGGTTAACATATCCAGCACTTCATAACTATTTGAACAGCTATAGTTGAACCTACAGGTTTTTTTTTTTTAAAGACAGAGTCTTACTCTGTCACCTAGGCTGGAATGCAGTGGTGCGATCTCGACTCACTGCAACCTCTGCCTCCCAGGTTCAAGCGATTCTCCTGCCTCAGCCTCCCGAGTAGCTGGGACTACAGGCACATGCCACCCAGCTAATTTTTTGTATTTTTAGTAGAGACAGGGTTTCACCATCTTGGCCAGGCTGGTCTCGAACTACTGACCTCAGGTGATCCGCCTGCCTTGGCCTCCCAAAGTGCTGGGATTACAGGCGTGAGCCACACATGCTTATTTAATAAGACGGTTAATATAACCCTGTGTGTAGGGCTTAGTACTGGACTAAATAACTGCTAAAATAAGCTATAATCAAGAATTCCATGACACATAAAAACAATAATTTTTATTTTTACTCAATATAAAACTACTTTAAAAAGCAGCTAGAAGGCCAGACATGGTGGCCCACACTTGTAATCCTAGAACTCTGAGAGGTCAAGGTAGGAGGACTGCTTAAGGCCAGGAGTTCAAAATGAGCCTGGGCAACATAGCAAGATCTTGTCTCCACAAGAAATTATATATATATATATGTATATGTATGTATATGTATATATATATGTATATGTATATATATATACATATACATATACATATATATATATATATATATATATATATATATATATATATATATGTATAAAGCCAGGTGTGGTGGTACATGCCTGTAGTCCCAGCTACTCAGGAGGCTGAGGTGGGAGGACCACTTGAGCCCAGGAGGTCCAGGAGTGAGGGAGTAGAAGAGCAGGGAAGCAGCTCCTTTACACAGGAAGAGCAAACCAAGAAGATCCTTAAATAGGCCTTTCACGAAATAAATGCCAGAATGGCAATCAAATCCTGCCCGGAGACTGAAAACTTCCATTCAAATGCTTTTTAGAGTTGGTGATATTGCCAAAGCTGTCATAGTTTTGACTCCGATTTTCTGATCAGCTCACAGCAGAGTGCTTCATAGTGTCCTTCTGTACCTTAAACCAGACAATATCAAAACGTCAAAGAAATACTTCCCAAGTGAAAGCTCATGTTTAGGGAACAGTACCAGTCTCTGTCTCAAGTTCTGCAGGGTTTAAAATAACACTCAGCTCTCACTGCTTTCTCTTGGGGTTCTCCTCGTTATCTTCCAAGAATATGAAATAAGGGCACATATGCCAACTTTTATAGTTGGCAAAGGGCATGCATTTTAGAAGCGGCATTTTTATAGGAATAGAAATAACACGGCAGCAACACCCTAACACCCTGGGTTTTTTTTTGTTGTTTTTTTTGTTTGTTTTTTTAAGTGGCTGCTACATTTAAAATAGAGGATGAGGTTCCCTATTGCATAAAATTGTACTCAGGCTTGCGTGGAGCAGAAGGGGTCTAATTAAAGTCAAGTTGTGAAGCAAAGCATCTCTACATTTGTACAACAGATAATGTGACAATCTGGTCTGGCTCTGGGCACTGTTACCCTGCTGTACTTCCTCTTTTTTTTTTTTTTAAGCTCCCCCAGGACCACCAAAAAAGGGCAGTCCTGAAGACGTGATAAGTAAATGAATACGGCAGCTGATGAAGCAGATGACTCTCGGTGGAGAAAGGAGCCCAAGGAATGAGAAATATGAATGGTAAGATTTCTGAAACAAATCTCAGACCCCAAACACACCCTGCTCTATCAAAGCAACTGCATGCTGAGCCCACTGTTAATTGACTTTCAGAACAAAACATATGAGCAAATTCTTTATTAATAGAGTCAATCTAAACAGCCAATGTGACTGGGGAGCATATTTGCTCCCTTTAGGCTGTGTGGCACTATGAAGAGCCTGGGATAAGCAAGGGGGCCTTTTCTGATCTCCCTTTAATTTCCTATCCCAATTTTTCTCTTCCCATGCCCTAAGCTCTTTAAAACTGGAGATTCGGGGCAAACTAAAGTCCTTGAAGCTTTATTAAAATACTACCTTCTTGGTATAAAATGACATCCTCACTCCTTTTTATCTGGTGTGACAGGCTGAATGATGTGTTCCTCCTACCCGCCAGGATGTCCACATGCTAATTCCTGATCCTGTTGACTATGCTGCCTTATACAATAAAAAGATAATCTCCCCATCTGAAGTTCCTTAATTTGATCATATCTGCAAAGGTATGATGATATCTGCAAAGGTATGATCAAATTAAGGGACTTCAGGAGGGGAGACTGTCTTAGATTATTATGGATGGGCCCAATGTCATCACAAGGGTCCTTAAAGGAAGAAGGACAGAGAAGTCAGAGAGAAAAGGCAATGTGTCAAGAGAAGCAGAGAGACAGAGACAAGATGCTATGTTGTTGGCTTTAAAGCTGGAGGAAGGGGCTGGAAGCCAAAGAATCTAAGTGGCCTCTGGAAGCTGACAAGGCCAAGGAAATGAAATCTCTCCTGGAGCCTTCAGAGATTACCACCCTATACACTCATTTTATTCTTCTGGTCTACAGAACTGTAGAATAATAAACTGGTGTTGGTTTAAGCCACTAAGTTTGTAGTCATTTGTTACAGCAGCAATGGGAAAGGAATACACCTGGTTAACCTTGTTCACCCTAAACTCTGTTCAGGCACCCTCTCCTATAAGGAGCCTCCTTGAGAGCTCTTTCCCCATCTGCCTCCAGCCCTACTTTGTCTTGGTCAGCTGTTCCTCTTCTTTGCAGAGCATCTTGCAATTACCTTTATAAAGCCTGGTATTACAACTGTCGAAGTATTTATCTGCTTCCTCAACTAGCCTGGGAGGCTCTCTTTTAAAGGCAGGGCATATGTCTGATTCATTTTCATATTCCAATATTTATCAATGTTTCTGACACATAGAAAGCACTCACATTTTTTTCAGTAAGTGAGTATGACTCATCCCTTAACAATCAGGAGGATACCAGCCTTCATTCCCTTAACCAGATGTTAAAGACACTAATGGTAAAGAAATAACTAGTTCATTACCAGAAAATAAACTTGGACATCCTATGAAAATGGCTCCTTTCTCTAGGGAAGGCTCTCACAATATCATTTGCCCATAGTAGATTCACATGAAAGAATTAAAAACTATCTTTTTTATCTCCAATCAAAAAGTTTATAAAGTTTTCAGTCAAAAGGAAAAACCAAGTATTGGATTGAGTAAAGAAGAGGGAGAAAATGAAAGACGAATAACAATAAACATTTTGGTAAATCTCATACAGTTACTGAGGTACGAGACTTACTGAGGTATACAGACTACAATGGTATGAGCCCACAGCTCTCTCTCCCACCCCACATGTTCTGCACAGTAACCCGACGGCCAATCATCAAGAAGAGAAGCCATTGCCTTCCCCTTGCATCCGGGTTGGGCTCAGGGCCTCACTGGGAACCCAGATAACATGGCAGAAGTGACCACTACACGGCTTCTAAGACCAGCTCAGAAGACACTCAGCAGCCTCTGGCTCTTTGAATGGTGGCTCTTCAGATGCTCCTTCCTGGGGCACTCTCCCTCAGAAGCCAGATGCTATGCTGTGAGAAGCCCAAGCCACGTGGAGTTCTACATGGAGGCTCTCTGGTTGATAGTCCCAGCTGGGCCCAGTCCTTGAGAGGTATCATAGCTCAAAAACTAGGTATGTGGGTGAAACAGCCTCCAGATGGACTGGCATCCCCAGTCAATCAGGTCTTCCCTGATGAGGCCCCAGACAAAACAAAGAAGAGACAATCCCTGCCATGCCAGCCTGGCTTCCTGACCCACAGAAGCCAGGAGCCTAAAAAAATGAAGTGTGGGGTACTTTCGTATCCACAGCAAAAAATTGCAACAGTTGATAAACAGACAAAAAAAGTTACTCAGCAGCACTAACACCACATTAAGACTAGGACTTTGCTTCCTAATGCTAAGGAGGAGGACCAGTCAAGAAGAATCTTGGTTAATTAGATCAATCTAATTCTGGCCTGATACCATGAAATACATACATGCTCTACGGCTGTGGCTCCTACAGTTTGAGACTTGAGAGAATACATTGCTTATAGTTCAATGAGAGACTGAAAAATGTGAGTACCCTTACTTTACCACTTAGGAAGTTATCTGGATGGTCTCATGCTAGATTTACAATCCTATACCCTCAAATGCTTGGGAGGTTAGATTACATGGGATTAAACTCAGAGGGATGCTGGAAGCACACCAAAATCTTCACTCTCCTTCCTGCCCAATTTGGTCCACTATAAATAAAACTTGACAGGCTTTCTTAGTTCAACTTAATAATGTGTAGCACGAGTGCCTTCAGATGCCCAGTAGCTAAACCACACATCAGCTTTCTTAGGAAGCCTTCTAGCAACAGGCAGAAAAAAGAACAACTACTGCCAAGAGTGCTGTGCACAAGAGTGCTGGTGGCCTCGAGTGACTCATTCAACAAGGCTCCATCTTTCTGTACTGGAAGGTCAAAAGTGGGAGGGAGTTGAGCCTTTAATAACCAAACTCAGGCTTTTTTGCTAAAGCCAGATGCTGTCATTACAGAAGCAGATGAGAATACAGTTATAATTGATCCGAAATCCTGATGAATTCCAGGTGCACCTCCCAGCAGCCTGGGAGAGCTGGTGCCTCAAAGCCCTCAGAGGATTTTATTACTCATGTCATAGTGGCTGTTCCACTGTAGAGTCTACAGGGCCTCAGTACTTTTCCTCTTTGACTTCAGAAGGAAGCATTTTTTTTTTTTTTTTTTGCCAAACCTTTGGAGACACTTTTTAAAAGCAAGCCATTTTCTCAAATATATCAAAGAATATAATGGAAAAAGTAAAAAGACTAAGAAAAAGTTGAGAGCAAGAGCTAGGTTGAAGACTTCAAGGTTCCCCTTGGTAATGAGATGAAGCGTAGTGTTTAGAAATCTGAAGTGGGGACTGGTTGAGGTCCTTAACCAGTAGATAAGAGTTTTATGAGCCAGCAGATTGCTAGCTATGGTCCATGTCATTTGGAAGAGAAGAAAAAGCATGACCAGAACCCCAAATGGTATTTCTGGTGGCGCAGCTTCAAAGGCAGAGCCAGAGTATAGCCACATTTTAGGAATGCCTGCCCATTTTCCAAGCCTGGTTCTCCAGGCTCCTTGTCAAGTCTGTGCTTTTCTCAACATCTTTTCGATCAACCCTTTCCTCTATGTGTTAGAGTCAGTTTCTGCTTCTTGCAAAGAAGACTCTGAACTAATATAAATATCCAAAGGGTGGTTTTTACTTCCAAATGTATTTTTTTCTGTTTGGTAGTCTCGGGGCTCAAAAATATACACTGCCACACAACTAAGAAAACATCAATTTAGGTAAGATGGTCATATGTCCTTCCATGGGGCTATTAATAAATTAGCCAATAAGAAAAAATAGATGACTCCTTTTTCTCACCCTGGTCTTTATTTCAAGACCATAAATTTTCGTTAAGAGATATTTCAACACAAAACCAGATGTGTTAATCCCCTTAAAAAATTGTTTTTTAAGGAAAAAAGAATTCAAGGAGCACAATGGTTGACTGTTAATGATTTAGTCTTCATCTACTCAATACACTCATGTTTTCAGGCATGTCACAAACCACGCACAGTATAAGCTTACTATCTGTATTCATGTAATTAAGACTCATTTGTCATCATGTACATTGAAGCCATGTATGTGTTTGCTCAGTGACATCAGGCTTAGACCCCAATCCCACCCCCACCATAAGCAAAGCTTTGGGTTAACATTCTTGCCACCATCACATACCATTAAACTAAAGGTGCTCCCTGCCTTCCTAAAACATGCACTTCAGCTATTACAAGATTTGTAGCAAGATTTTTTAAGGAAAAAAAATATAAGATTGGGATTCTAAATATTCATCAAAACATGAGAAAATGATGTAGTCATACATAAAAATCTTTCAACAGCCAAATAATAACTTCCTTTAATTTACATCTGAACTAATTAATTAGTGGTGGTCAAATTAGATAGAATGGATTTATTGGCTCAAGAGGTAGAGGGGGAAAAATCCTGCTACATAAACTACTTAAGATACATGGCCTTTTAAATGTCTTTCTAGCATCTGGTTCCATATTGCGTTAGTACGCTTGGCTATGCTCTAACAGTGATCAAAGCCCAAAGGATCTGGCTACTCTAAAGCATATTACTTTATTTGCAAAAAATAGATGTTGAACTCCCCTACTTCACCCCTCATTCCTGCCAATAAAAACAAAGATAATCCTTTCATCCTTCTTAGGCAGATGAATGGAATCCCAACTTACTAAAAAAGATGAAAAGCTTTAAAAACAATCTTCTCGAAGGCAAAGACTCTTCTTTGGTCCTCCTTCCTGGTATCCTGGTACCTGGTATGGTACTCTCTCTGCCATATGTGGCTCAAAAGGAATTATTCACTGAACAAAACCCTATCTGCACAGGCATGCCAGAATATAATAATGAATATTATTATAAAACCAGAAGATTCCAATGACATTTTGGTTAAAGAGGTTAAAGAATTCACTTTACTATGATGTGAAAAAAAAAAAATTCACTCACGCAAAGATGGGAGAAAAAGAGGAAGGGATTTAAGAGACTTTGAGCTGTGAGCGGCATTGCATGTTTTAGAAAGCAAGATCAACACAGAATAACACCTTTTGCACCTCAAGATTGGATAAATCGGTTGAGGCTCTTCTGACCTATCTATAACAACTAAGTTTGTCGGGGGCATGTTGCTACCTTGTCTTCATTCCCATGGCTATTAGGATAATAATCCATTTGCTTGGTCTGTCTATATGGTTTTTAGACAAGAATAATGCAGGATGGTTGCAGCAGAATAAAAAATTCTAGGCAGCAGTTTCACATGACTAAGCAAAAGGAAACTGCTGAAATAGCTGCAGAAGCTTGGGGCTGATAAGACCCTGAAAAACAGGGTGTGGGCCAAGCTGGCAAAGACAAACTGGGTCCAACATGGTGCTGGATTTGATCCAGGTTTCTCCTAGGACCTTATTCTATGCTCATTCACATATTCAATCATATACCCACCAGTGCCATGACAGTTCCAGAACATCGTTATTTGAGGTAAAAATGGGTAGCACCATAGTTCTGAGAAATCTCCAGCTTCTTCCAGGAATCTCCGTGAATACTCCATCCCTTGGTTAAAGAAATCCATAAAGGTAGCAGCCCCAAACCACCTTGTGTGACTCTCTCAAGCATGCCCACACTCCCCTTTCTTGAGTGTGTACTTTTTGCTTTGCAATAAATCTCCACACTTTCACTATTTTCTAACTCATACTTGAATTCATTCTTGTGAGGATGTCAAGCGCCTAGACACCAGCAGGGTTTGGGGTCCCACCAGCATTTGAGGACCTCCCCTAGCCCACTGCTATCACCTTCTATCAGATGCAAATGCCTATGCCAAGGACAGTACCTGAAGACCTACCATCACTCCTGATTAATTACAGAAATGAGGCCAGTTTTGGTTAAAGCTCTAAGAATTCAATGTCAAAAGTAATTTAGTTCTCATTACTATTGTCCAGGTATTAGACTTAGGATTACATTTTTCTTCAATTAAGCACATACTACACCCTAAATAGCTAAAGCATATATAAGTCTGACACCAAAGAGTTAAAACTCAATTCTGCAAGTATCTGTGGGCCTACTATGCATAAGAAAGGTACTCTATCTTACCTAGGAGAAAAAAATATTATCATTCATCTCATGAATTCCTGGCTTTTATTCTTGTTCTATACAAATATATCTTTAGGATATAATCTGACCTGCAGTATAATCAGATTCCTGTTATAATATGAGTCATTATAACAAGGGCCACTGATAACTATATAGTAAATGTTTCCAATGTGAAAAGTACTCAGCATGCAATATTTTCAAATATGACCTAATGATAAAGATTTGGGCGTTATATGAGCTGCACATACTGTTTCTCTTTCATATTAAACCCATCCACCCAAACATACTTCCTTATTTATAAATGTAAAATTTATATATTTATACATGATATATAAAAACATTCACAGACAAGCATTCGTACATTCTTGTCTCTAAAATCTATTTGTCTTGGAAGCCAGAATATGAATTTAAAGATTCACTATTATTCTTCTTCATTCTCTTGGAAGCTGGATATTTTTTCACTATCTTTGGGGCTCAATAGAAAGAAAAAAAAAGATAATATTTGGTTGTCTCCACAGTTGGCATTTACAAAATGGATAATATCAAAATCTTAAAGAATGGACTAGCAGTAAGGAGGCAATGCAAATAAAGGAGCAAGAGGAGTGTCTGCCCTGTTCACATCTTTGAAGCTTCCCAGCCTATGCAGAGGCTCACAGGCTGGTGTCTAGAACATTTGGCAGCTGGGCAGTAAATCCAATTAAGGAGGTAGGAGGCAGGGGAAATAGCTCCGAAGTCCTGTCTCATTTCAGTATTTCCCTTATTTCCTTCAAGGGATTCACAAACAATAAGGCCACAACTTCAACACATTTCAAGGAAGTTCAGGATCAGGAGCACCAAGTCCTGTTCCTGGCTCTGTCACTTATCTAGCTATGTGACCACAGGTAAACTATGTATTTCAATTTCGCTAAAATCAAGATATTAATATTTGTCTCAAAGATGTTCTTATAGAACCAAATGATGCCATGCATGTAGCTGGTATAGCCCCGGCATATAGTAGGTTCTCAATAAATACTATCAGAGTTTCTAGTTCAGAACCTTTCAGGAAAGAGGAGAGAAAACAGTCCCTCTGTGACCTGGATTTTAATCCAGCTCGGGTCTTAATCCAAAAGCATTTGGAATTAAATGGGACTTCTAGCATAACACACAACTTGGCGAAGGGTCCTATTGTAACCTGGGCTTCCACCTGTTCTCTAAGGACTACTTTGTAATTTCTCACCTCAAAGTAGCCTCTGATGTCAGGCATATACCAGGGGAACAAACAGGTACTCTTCTTGGTCCTACAACACTGCCCACTACCCTGTGGGAAAGCAGCTACTATCTAGGCGGTGATGTTTGGATACACTGGGGCAGGGCCCGCGGCGGTGATGTTTGGATACGCTGGGGCAGGGCCCGCGGCGTCATATTGTCTTTGTGTAATCCCTCCTTTCTTTGTGGTCAGACAGTCTCCGTTTCCAACCATGCTCAACTGTTGCATTATTGTTTGGCTGTGACAAGCCCACTTAAGCTTACACGCTCCCAGAATCAGTGCCAGTATTTGCCAGGTTTTTCATAGCATCCAGCAAAAATAAAGTAACTGTGATGAAAGAGTTCATAAAATTTGCATGGTGGACGATCAAGTGCCAATATCAACCCCAATGAAAACCACATACATGTAACAAAACCGGTTTTCAAACTGGATTATTCCATGTTCCCTAAAAACATAAAAATTAAAACAAAAACAACAACAACAAAAAAAGAGTACTGTGATTATTTTTAACTTATCCTAGAAATAAGATACCAAATTTAGACTAAGTTCATTACATTCCTCTCAGTGAGATCTTAGAAATTAACTATTATATTCCTTAGGCCCTAGGATAAATGAAAAGGTAAATAATTCCGTTCAAAGATGTCCAAATGTAAGATGTGTGAGTATTCTTATGAAAACTATAGTGTAGCCTACCTCTTTAAAGTTATCAAATGCTGATAAAATGATTTCATGCCCGCCTCTGACAAGACAAACGGCTGCCAACAGTTCTAAGACAAGGGCTTTTGTTCTGCCAAAACAAGAAGAAGAAAAACACAAATCAGTGAAAATGGCATGATGAGTCAGCTGTTTCTTCCTTCCAAGATACATGAGAATAAAACATTTGCCCTTACATTTTTAAAAAATTTTACTAAGGTACAGTTTAATCAAAGTACATTTTTAAACCTTTACTGACTACTACATATGTGATTTGTCTAAGATGGCAAATTTGGAAGGTATACTTACCAAAAAGACAAATCACTCACTAATGAAAACTAGTTCTGAGAAGAATAATCTCTTAGACCTATCATCAGGTGACTCAGTACAATACAGATGAAAAATGTTTACTGGTACGCTAAAAACAAAGGGAATGGGAATATGCTGAAAAACAAACTATTGATTAAGTATTTGCTCTGGTTTTAGAGACAGTGAGAGAACATTTGCAAAAAAAAAAGTTCAAAATCAACTGAAACTCATGTTCTACATTTCAAATCTGCTCATGTAGGGACAGATCCATAAATCTCCCACGAAAATACAAGTTTCTGTCCTTTCTTCTTCCTACGCAGGACAACTGGAAGGAGCTGGATTACAGCTTTACTAGCTTTACTAACACAAGAATATTTTCTTTGACTCAAGAAAATAAAACTCAATCTGAAATATTTTTGGAAGGAGAACATGGAGATACACTCTAAGTTTTCAAATTCAATGTCAAGAAAGAAACAGCATTGTTTCTTCAATCATAAGACCACTTAAGTATTTCATTTTTTTTCTGGAATAACAGCTTTCACCAACTTCTAAACAAAAACTGTTCTGATACTCCACAATGTCAATTGTCTTTTAAAAAATAATGTCTTCCCTGTAGTAGAAGGCAGAGACACAGAAGCATGGCTACTTAGGACTCTAGTAAACGAAGGAAGGAATCGCACAGTCGCAAAAGGTTTAATCAGGGGAAGTTTGAAAGAATAATATTCAGTAAAGAGGACTTGATAGTTCGTGTTGCATTTTCCAAATCAGAAATGGCTAATTTATAAACAGATTTTTGAATTAACAGTTTTCAGATATTTTGTCTACAGAGAGGTATTGGATGAAAAGGAATTGCACATTTGAAGTACAGAATACTTCACCAAAATGGAAAGCACATTAAAATAACTACAATTGATGAAGACTGGCTTTTACGACTAACGTGTGATGTGAATTATATCTGCTGCTAGCCTTTACAAGGTGGTGAATATGAAAGGAAATCTGCATATACAATTTTATTTTTCTATTTCTTTCTTTCTTTATTTTTTGAGACAGAGTCTTGCCCTGTCACCCAGGCCGGAGTGCAGCGGTGCGATCTCGGCTCACTGCAACCTCCACTTCCTGGGTTCAAGCCATTCTCCTGCCTCAGCCTCCTGAGTAGCTGGGATTACAGGCATGTGCCACCATGTCTGGCTAATTTTTTGTATTTTTAGTAGAGATGGGGTTTCACCATGTTAGCCAGGCTGGTCGCAACTCCTGACCTCAGGTGATCTGCCTGCCTCGGCCTCCCAAAGTGCTGAGATTACAGGCATGAGCCACTGCGGCTGGCCACTACAATTATTTTTCTATTTTCGTTCAGTAATTAAAGCTACATATGTAAAGTTATCAAGCGAAGTGTAGACGAAGGATGGTGGTTTTAGCTAGCTTCCAGCAATAACTGATATACGTAAATCTTTATCAAGACTCTCCTGGCCCCCGAGTCCTGGCAACCTGATCCTCTCCAAATTTAGCAGCAAGGATGCTGGAAACCAGGCCTCAAAAGAACAAAAGCTTGAGGAGAACAGTGAAGGGCTAGAATTGTCACCAGTTGCTCAACTCTGGCCCATCTAAGAATGTAACTTGGCTAAAAGGAAAAATTCTTACACAGCCAAAGAGTTTATAGCCAATCTTATTTCAGAGATTAACACTTGAAAGTTTCCAAAGTCAAACTTGGTTAAGTGTTGACTAGCCCTCTGTTTTCTCTAGATAGATTTAGACTTGCGTACTACAAAAGCAGCTTACCTGGGATTCTTGTTGTTCAGGCTTAGTGCAATCTCATTGACAGCGTGTGGATGAGACATGACCATGTTGAAACCATACTAAAATTAACATGGAAAAAAAAAGAAACACAAAGCATTGGGAGACAAGTTAGGGAACTGTCAGTATTGATTTAAAACCAAAAACCCGAAGTATCTACCTAATGAAACTTACACCATTATAAATGCACTTATGTCTCTAGTATATCACTGTCAGAGCATATTTCTCTATTAAAAATTTCAAGAATGCCAGATGCAATGATTTGTGCCTCCAGTCCCAGCTACTCAGGAGGCTGAGGCGGGGGGTACAGCTTGAGTCCAGGACAACAAGACCCACATCTCTCAAAAAAAAAAAAAAAAAAATCGGCAATGATGCTATTATCAAAAGATTATCTTCCCATTCTTTACAAATGAACTACATGTTTCTCTTTATTAAAATGATAAAAAGGCTCTAGCCCAGTGATTATTAACCTTGGCCGCTCCTTAAACTCCCCTGGAAGACTAAACAAAACATTTACTCCGAATCTCAATTACAGGGACCTGGCACCTGAGTTTTTAAGCTTCCAGGGTGACTCCACAGTATACAATAGATATAACATACAAAATGTGTGTTAACAGACTTTATGCTACTGGTGAGGTCTCCAGTTATATACAGATTTTTGACTACACCAGGGATCAGTACCCCTCACACCCCACAAAATTCAAGGGTCAACTATATTCTTTCTCCTCAAAACTCACTCTCAGCTCATCAGAGAAAACATCCAGAAGTTCCTATACCACATCAATCTATCCACACAGATTTGTGGCTTACCTCCTCACCTCCTATTAAAGAGGAACTCTTCTGTGCTCCAAACTAAGGCCAACCCCTCCCATGAGTCCTTCCTCCATCCCATTCCCTCGCATCTGCTCACGAACATCATATGTTCCAGAAATTCCTCCCTTCCCCCTTATTTTTCCCTCTCCATAGACTCATTGCCATTAGCATAAAAAATGCAAATTATCTTAAGTAACAATAAAAACCTCTCTTGATACCACAACCTGTGTTCAGCCACTGCCTCTCATTTCTCTGCTATCCTTTACAGCAAAACTCCTCCAGACACTCAGTATAAATCCTCACTTCCTGCTCATTCTTGAAACCACTCCAATCAAGCATTTCACCCCCACCATCCCAATGAACTGTTCTTGCCAAGATCACCAAAGACCTGCACTTTGCTGAAGCCAATGGCCAATCCTCACTCCACATCTTACTTGACTTAGCAGCATCTAACAGAGCTGAATACTCCCTTCTCCTTGAAATATGTCCTTCACTTGGCTCCTACTTGGCTATTTTTCAGGCTCTCTAGCCAGCTTTTCTTCGTCTCTCTGACATTTAAACAGAGAGCCCTAGAGTTCATATTTTGGACTTCTTTACTTCTCAGTCTACCCCTACTGATCTCATTCACCTTCCTGGCTTCCTATGCCATTTATATGCTAATTACTCTCAAATGTCTAACTCCAGCCTAGACCACTGCCTTGAAATCCAGACTGGCATATCCAACCATGCACCTAAGATCACCATTTGAATGTCTAAGGGGAATCTCAAAGTTAAAATCCCCGAAACAGAATTCCTAATGATCTCCCTCAAATCCATCTATCCTGCAGTCTTCCCATCTTTGTAGATAGCAAATATATCTCACAGGTGCCCAAGACAAAAGCCCTGGTGCCACCCTCTACTACTCACCTTCTCCCTCATATCCAATGCTGTGGCCTTTAACATCAAAATAAAACCAGAATCTGACCACCTCTCATCATCTCCACTCCTATGATCCTAGTCCATATGACCACCAAAGCTCACCTAAATTACTGCTAAAAGCCTCCTAAATGGTCTACCCCCTCTTGCCTTTGCCTGGCCAAGATCAAACCTAAACACAGAAGCCAGCATGGTCTCATGTTAAATGCAAGTGTCAGATTATGTCGTTATAACCATTCAATAGCTTTCCACTCATAGTGAAGTCAATGTCCTCTCAGCGGCCTCTAAAGCTCTACATAATCAAACTCCCTGTCACATCTGACTTCATCTTCTACTCTTCTCCCTCTTACTCATTCTGATCCAGCCAAGCCTCCTTTCTGTGCCTTGGGCAAACCAGACATTCCTGCCTCAGGGTCTCTGCACTTGCCCTTTTCTCTGCCTAGAACCTTCTTCCCCTAATATCCCTCCCTTTGCTCCCTCATTCAAGTTGTTACTAGATGTTACCCTCTCAGTGACCCTTCCCTAGCTGGCCTATTTAAAACTCGCACACATTTTCAGCAGTTCCTATTTCCTATTTTTTCTACAGTACTTAGTAATGGTTCTCTGGGTTCAAAGTGTTCCTGGGTCCAAATCTTGACTCCACTACTAACTAGCTATGTGATTTTAGGCAAATTACCAAACTTCTCTGTGTCCCAGCTTCATCAGTAAAATGGGGAGAGTAATATTATTGATCTCACAGGGCTATTTACATGACTTAAGAGGTTTAAAAGCACTAGACCTGAAAAGTGTAACATGTAAGCATTAGCTTTCATTTCATCATTATTATCTGGAACATATACATTTTACCAATTTATTTGTTGGTCATCTGTCTCCCCTCCCTGGAAAGTAAGTTCCCTGGGCCACAGATTTATTCAATGCTGTATTCTCAGTTGCCTATGTGGAACAGGGGCCGTCTGGCAAAGTTCAAAAAAAAATGGAAAGAATAAATGCATGTTTCCCTTCTTAAATTTAACACAGCACCTTTTGTGTTGGTTTGAACTCTAACACCAACCCTCGACCTATGTATTTATCTCCCACTTCTACTTGGACCCACTGTAGCATCCATATTAATGGAAATCAAATCCTATTTCTATATTTGAATTCCACTTTTCTAAGTGGAACCCCTGTACCCCTGCTTTGCTGACCTAATTAAACTGATGACCCTACCAGTTCACGCTAGGTACTACAGGCTCTAACTTCCACTTTGTTGTTAAGATTAACCCAGCACACGTGTTCCACCGTAACTTCCAGTGTTTTTACAGTGGGGTCAACCTGCATCTCAATTACCCAAAGGAGGAATCTGCATTTTCAACGATCTTCTAGGTGCTTCTTATAAAGATTAGGAACCACTGAGCCCAACTGTCAATAATTGTAACTTTTTGCCTGTTTGCCATATAACCCTTTGAGAACCACTGTCTCTATCCATTCCTGGTGTTCTAGAGTTGTTTCATTACTACCTGCAACAGCAGCTTATTCAATCTTTAGTAGTCACAAGCATTCACCAAGCAATCTAGGTAAGTTTATCTCTATAGGAGGAAAACACCTTTCCTTTAAATACGTCACAAATTATATATATTTATTAAAATATGAGAGCAAAGAATTAAACCTTGAGAATTAGGATGAACCAGGCCTTTCTTTTTTAATAGAATCTCGTTAAATCCTGGCATTTACTTCAAATAGAAATAATACAAAGAAACCAAAGAGAACAAAATCTGAGTCTGTTTTTTTTTTTGTTTGGTTGGTTTTTCTTCTTTTTTAAAAAAATTTCAACAGCTTTAGGGGTACAAGCAGCTTTTGGTAACACAGATAAATTGTAGGATGATGAAGTCTGGGCTTTTATTGTACCCTTCGCCCAAGCGGTGTACACTGCACCCAGCAGTCATTTCTGAGTCTGATTAATTCAGGTTTTTTTTAAAAGAACCAGAAGCTCCAACATACCTGATAATTCATGATGGCACGTAAACACATGATACAGACATGCACATCATCTTTCTTACTCACTAATCTTGAATTTTTCAGAGTTCTTCTGCTTGGCAATGTATTATATCTACAAACAAAAAGAGAAACTTCTATAAAACAACAGGTTACTTTCTTAGCATAGGCACATGCACTTAACAGACACTACTCTTCACCAGTACCAAAACAAGGATTGTAGGTTAAAACCGCCACCAAATGGCAACAGTAAGATTGATTTCAACCTCTAAAATACAGCTTTATAATGTGTCACTTTGCCATAAGCCCATCTTGGGTATGCTTGTTAACACACTTTTTGGAGGTCTCAGAGACTGGTACAACTTTAAAAACTAATCACACAGCCAATGAGACCCAAGCATATATCATCTTCTTAATCTACATCTGAAGTTCTTCCCCTTCCTCTATCTTTCTTATTTTAACCTCAGTCTTGAATTTCTTTAATGGAATCACTTGTTAAGTACATGACTGTTTACTAGAAAGAGTTTTCATTTTTAGTTGATAGCAATAGCTTCCAGTGTAAAACAAAGTAATCTAAGTTTTAAAAAGAAAGAGTAATTTGAATGGAATCAACTGCCTTTTGTTAAATTGTATTCATATGCAGCAATGATTGAGAAGATACACTAATGAAAACCAGTCTCTAAGGAAAATGGGAGAGGTTATTCTCTACAGTGTCATATTTCTGCATCACTTTGAAATATTAATACAGTTTCATTATTCCAGCAAGTAGACAAACCTTACACATCTGTTTCTTTTCTTTTTTTTTTTTTTTTTTTTGAGACAGAGTCTCGCTCTGTCACCAGGCTGGCGTGCAGTGGCACGACCTCAGCTCACTGCAACCTCCACCTCCCAGGTTCAAGCGATTCTCCTGCCTCAGCCTCCCGAGTAGCTCGGACTACAGGTGTGTACCACCATGCCCCGCTAATTTTTGTATTTTTAGTAGAGATGGAGTTTCCCCATGTTGGCCAGGATGCTCTCCATCTCTTGATCTCGTGATCCACCTACCTCGGCCTCCCGAAGTGCTGGGGTTACAGGCGTTAGCCACCGTGCCCAGCCTTATTTGTGTTTCTTAAGAGGTGTAAAGTAATGTAGCACATTCTTTCTTTTTATTTACTGATCCAGTTCTTGATCTATATTGCAATAGTCTCTTTCTAAGAAGCTAAAATGTCCCTGTCATTATTTTATGGAGTGTAGAAAGCAACAAAATTAATTAGAATAATATTCTACTTCCCAAACATTAACACAAAGGGCTTCTATTTGTTGCAGTAGATAGCTAATCTCAAATACATTTTCTGGATCAACACTTAAAATACATTTAATATGACATAACACATACATACTTATTAACATTTAAAGACTTTAGAAAATACGCAATATATAAATGTCAATAAAAAAATGAGAAACTTGTTTATTAGTTGTATTCTATGCTCAAAAACAATAGAGCTAAAGTTTTTCTAAAATGTATGGTATTTGGTTTAAAAATTATTTTCTCCAATTATTTGTTTATATAAAAATAGAGTAGTAATAAAAGGTAGTATCTGAACTTGTATGTCTAAAATAATAACATTATAAATTTAAAAACCTCCATCACGACCAATAACAGCAACAACAAAATCATAGCACTGAAGAGCTATGGTATCATTTACTCTAATCCTTTCTTGATACAGTTAAGAAAACGGAAGCCCAGAGACATTACATCTACATAGCAAATAAGGGATGAGATGAGACCAGGCAAAACCAGAAGTCTCCTCACTGCGATTTAGGACAGTCACTTTCCACGAGTTGCTCATCATCAACCTGACTCATCAACAATCTGCTGGGTGATCATGTGAAAAAGCTACCGCCTACAGCTGTCTGTGCTGGCTAGTTCTTTATCAAATGTTCACATCCTGTCATCCTGGCAGCATTTTCTGCTTCAGTCCTAGATAGGTGTCATTTCTCACCCTGAATAATTATTTCATCATGGTGAATTAAGGCTTAGTTTGTCAAAAACAGCAGCATATAGGCATCTCTTACAGAACACAGTGGCCAATACCTTGGTAAGCAAGTTTCTCTTTTTAAATCTTTATTCTATATATGACACTTATTAGGAAAGTGAGGATGTTTTTTGACTTAATAGGAAATTTTGCTCTATATTTTAGAATCATTTTAAAAGGATTTCCTCTCACTAAATAAATGCACCCTGAGAAATGTCATAATTCTTTACCTCTGAAAATTTACTTTCAAAGGACTCAACTTAGGATGATCTTAAACATACAAGACTAGATTTTAGGGACTGTGCCATGGGTTAGCATGTACATTAATCAATTCTTCATCATGCATATTTTATGGAATCTGACAATTTTTGTAACTGTATATTTGGTTTCTTTGCTTTAATTACCATGTGAGTAAATGACTACTTTAAAAAAAAAAAAAAACAGGTTTTGAATTCAGCTCCAACGCATGATGTTGATACCATGTATTTTTTGGAGACAAGGGTCTCACTTTGTCACCCAGGCTGAAGTGCAGTACCATGATCACGGCTCCCTGCAGCCTCAGATTCCTGGGCTCAAGAGACAATGCCCAGTTAATTAAAAAAAATTTTTTTTTGTAGAGACAGGGTCTTGCTCTGTTGCCCAGGTGGGTATCGAATTCCTGGCCTCCCAAAGTGCTGGGATTAAAAGCATGAGCCACTGCGCCCTGCAGAAGCTCACACTATCTAATAACCACTTCCCTGAGGAGATGGCTTTACTGACCCTAAAACAGCAACAGAATGAGGATTTACAAGATATTAGCCACTTTACCACAACAAGAACACCTAGACAAGGTAAGCAATCTAGAGGAAATGGCCTCTGGTGCTCACCAGCCACAGGAAATCAAACCAAATCTCTTTTTTAAGCCCCAAAGTTGGCTTTACTAAGTACCTATTGTTTATGCTAAACATTACTGAGATGGTCTAGGTTTAGACCTTAAGATAGAGAGCTAACTAGATAAGGGGATCATCACACTCTTCCTCAGTCACCCTGTAGGATGTCTCCTAGAAGGCCTTTTTAGATGGAGAGCTGGTCCTGATCTACCCGATGAAGCACATTTGCAGATTTCTGTGATGAGACCAAATCCCTCCACAATACACAGGACTGAAGAACCAAATATCATTAGAAAAACTCAGCTTTGAAAATCTTACTACCTGGTGTTGCAAATGTCCACCTAGATAACAATAAGGCTGAATTCAGTGGCAAACAGTTTCCACAGAAAAAAAGATGAGGCTAATTGATTAGTGCCCCAAAACTCTACTAAATAAATGTCACACCGATTCACTTAAGATTGAAAAAAAAATCACAGCAGTAATCCGTCACCAATTAACATTCAAACCGCTCAAATGAAACTAGTTATAACTATAAAATAATGTATATACATGATGCTGTTGTATAATCATCTTAACACAAATAAATCAATTCAATATACTATCTTTGAAAGAGAGGATAAGGCAGCCTGCATCAGGTCCTTTGCCACAGCCCTCTAGGCTAAACTTTCTTCGTTTTCCAAACACTGATCATCCTAGTTTACCTGTTTGAATAAACTTTCTACAAAGGCCTGAGCTTTGCAGGGATTAAGCCAGTGACTCAGTAGGAGGCATGAGTACCTCTGTGGCAAACTAACACCCTTGGCATGTGTTCTGTTACAGAATTACATAAAGTGAAACGGTTACTATAATATTTTCTTCCTGAAGCTATTATGAAACTTCACATAATTTGAGCAGAACCAAATTGGAGAGTGTCCCTCCAATTCACTGTGGTATACTTTAAAAGCTCCAGTGAGAGGCAGCATCAGTTTCTCCATGGACTCCCATGGATAATTGGCACACATGAGCTTTATTTAGTCCTGTCCCATGTAATACATCTTGCATGATCCCAGACTCTGTCAACAGCTAATGGTGCATGTTCCCTAAACTGAAATTTGAAATCAGTTTCAGCAGCAATGCACTCCCCTGGGCCCTCCTCTCCACCAGCAGTTCTCAAATCTCAGAGAAGGGAGAGCCAGGAGAGGAGAAGGAGGAAAAGGAGGAGGCAGAGGTGCTTTGAAGACACTCCAACGCCATCCTGCCCCTGCCAGAGGCTGCCAGGCTGCTGGTTTTCACTGTGATTGCAGCTACTGGTTTTCAAGGCTACTGTGGAACTGGAGAGGGAGGGATGGGAATGAGAACAAGTTAAAATGCCACAAAACTTCCTGCTCTGAGAATCAGTCCCTTTTCCTGAATAGATGCTCCCTGGGTTACTGCAAGACTTTAATTTCTAGAGTTCTGAAAAAGTTTATTCCAGTAATTTTTGCCAGTTTTCTTATCACTTTTATGGATGAGAACATTTTCAGAGGGCTTAATTCAACCATTTCACCAGCATTCCATAACAGACATTTAGAGACCTATTCATTCTGAAGTGTAACTTTTCCAACCTATTCATTCTGAAGTGTAACTTTCAAGTTGATGGGAACAGGTCTAAGAAGGTGATGGAACAATCAGGTCTCTCTGGTGACTTGGGGAAGGTTCCCTGAGATGTGAGGATTGGAAAGGACTCCCTCAGATTCCAAAGAGAAAAACAGGAAATGAAATATGGAGAAGTTGTGACCCAATTCCTGGACCACTGAGGCTGATTATCTAAATGCCATGCTGATAGCCTTTCTTCTCCCAGGCTGGCAAGAAGAGCCTTTGGGGCCCTGGATGCTTGTACACAAAAGAAGGGCTTCCCAGAGACAGAAAATAGCTGAGTCTAATTTTTGGAGCTCCTGCCATTTGTAGAAAAATACAATAGGGAAGGGATATCTAGGGCTGATTTTGTACGGAAACTAACAGCACCAAATTTCCCAGCCCCTCTTCTACATAAACTTAAGAGAACTACCTGCTAATTTTCCACTGAACTAAAACTCTAAATGTTACCCTAGCATTCAAAGATGAGATTCTATCTTGGAAGAGCTGCCAGTTAGAATTCACAAAGCTCTGTGAATGCAGAAAGAAGCAGATTACAGATTACAAAACTGACTTAAGATCATAACCAAACAAATTACTCCAAACCCTTTTATTAGTGTTATGCATATCCCAGCAGATACCAATAGTTATATGTACATAAAATATTAATAAAAGAAAAAGTTATAACTCAATGCTAGTATGAGTGATAGACTTTAAAAAACTAAGCGATTTTTGCAAATATCTTTTCTTTTCTTTTTTTTTTGAGACAGAGTCTCACTCTGTTGCCCAGGCTGGAGTGCAATGATGCACTCTTGGCTCACTGCAACCTCTGTCTCGTGGGTTCAAGCAATTCTCCTGCCTCAGCCTCCCAAGTAGCTGAGATTACAGGCATGTGCCACCATGCCAAGCTAATTTTTTTGTATTTTTAGTAGAGATGGGGTTTCACCATGTTGGCCAGGCTGGTCTCGAACTCCTGGCCTCAAGTGATCTGCCCACCTTGACCTCCCAAATGCTGAGATTACAGATGTGAGCCACCATGCCCAGCCACAAGTATCTTTTTTTTTTTTTTAACTTCCTTTTTTTTTTTTTTTTTGAGACAGGGTCTCACCTTGTCACCTAGGCTGAAGTGCAGTGGCATGATCTCCGCACATTGCAGCCTTGACCTCCCATGTTCAAGTGATCCTCCTGCCTCAGCCCCCCAAGGAGCTAAGACCACGGGTGGCACCACCACGCCCGGCTAAGCAAATATCTTTTAAGAAATCTACACAGAACATTTCCTATTTAGTACTCAGGTGACAACTGCACCCAGCCACCTACTTAATGCTCAACAATGAATCTATCAAGGAGCACAAATGGAACACCTCAACCTGCACAGCACCAGCAGCAGGCGCTATAGGGAAAGAAGCTATTTTTGTTAGTGAGCTCCAACCAGCAAGCGAAACCTGAGTTTTTGACAGGAGCACAAAAAGCAAGCAAGGCCAGCAAAGAAAATCCGGAGAAGCAGCTCTCATGGATCTGCCGAACCACAGATCAGGAATTTCTCTTGCCAGATACATGTTCATAGGCTGAATTATGTATAAAGCTAGTTAGTGTTCTGGTTAAAGTCATGTTTTGCTGTCTTTAAACCACTACCCATCACAAAGGAGTCAAAAAAAAAAAAAAGATTGGGGCGGGGGGGGAAGCTACAAAATTTTGAGCTAGTCCTTCATGTTTAAAAATATAAAGTAGTACATTCTTAAAAATAATAACAATGGTGGTAAACGTAAGTACTAAGTGGTGTGTCTATGAAAATTCTTGGAGTAGAGGAGAAAGACCTCTACTCATAAGCTAAAAAGCTAGAAGAAATCAAACACCGGATTTACTCAGAGATTTATATCTGTAATGATATGGTTTGGCTGTGTCTGTACCCAAATCACACTTTGAACTGTAGTTCCCATAATCCCCATGTATCGTGGGAGGGACCCAGTAAGAGATAATTGAATCTGGGGGTGGTTACCTCCATGCTGTTCTCATGATACTGAGTTCTCAAGAGATCTGATGGTTTCATAAGAGGCATTTCTCCCTTTGCTCAGCACTTCTTGTTGTCACCATGTGATGAAGGACATGTTTGTTTCCCCTTCCACTAGGATTGTAAGTTTCCTGAGGCCTCCAGAGCCATGCTGAGATGTGAGTCAATTAAACCTCTTTCCTTTATAAATTACTCAGTCTCGGGTATGTCCTTATAGCAGTGTGACAACAGGCTAATACATGTAAAGCACCAAGCACTTAGAAAACACTAAAATGGGCCAGATGCGGTGGTTCACGCCTGTAATCCCAGCACTTTGGGAGGCCAAGAGTTCAAGACCACCCTGGCCAATATGGTAAAACCCTGCTCTACTAAAAATACAAAAATTAGCTGGGTGTGGTGGTGAGTGCTTGTAATCCTAGCTACTTGGGAGGGTGAGGCAAAAGAATTGCTTGAACCTGGGAGGTGGAGGTTGCAGTGAGCCGAGATCACGCCACTACATCCCAGCCTGGGTGACACAGTGAGACTCCGTCTCAAAAAAAAAAAAAAACCCACCAAAATGGAAGCCGTTGCTCACCCAGTAATGTCCTGAAGTAACTGTGATCACCCATCTATTGTCTCAACAATATACACTTATTTCTAGACATTTAGACTTATTCTAGTATGTGAGTTGTGTATATGTCTGTCTTTCTCCTTGAGCTTCAATACCCAGACTACATAATACCGCAGAACCTTGAAAGAATGTTTCCTGAATTGAACTAACCAGGCTTTCCTGGAGTCTAGCAAAAAGGTTTTCCACAAGCCTTCTATGGAGCTTCCATGCCAACATTTGTGAGATTCATAATATCTAAGCCCTAATGGGAACAAGTAAAAGAAAAGCTATATTTTCTCGCTGACAAAAAGCATTTTTGTAAGGAAAATGCAGTCTGTCACACTATTCAGATCTCAAACTAATATCTACCTATAAATAAAGAATAGTATAGAACTCCCTCGGAAGCTGACATAAGGGTTCAACCCACTGAAATGCAACACCAATGAGGTATGTTACAGAATTTGGCAGAATTGTACCAGTCTTTTATGGTTCCAAGGTCTGGGCTAATAGAACTTTAACCAAGATTTGGGGTTTTAGGTTTCCTCTTTCTTATCCTTCAGACATGACATCACTTGGGCATATTTTTTCTATCAATTAAACTCATAAAATATATGATGCTAAAAAAAGGGGCCAGGCAGTTTTCTGACTGTCTCTACAGCCAAAAGAAATAGAGCTGAAACAGCTGAATCCAGATAATTCAAAGGAGAGGTAGAGGGATCAAGAAGAGAAAGAGGGAAAGAAAGAAAAAAGTAAACAAAATTCCTAATGAACTTTTAAATCAGGCATTGAAACGCTGTCTATACGTCCCATTAGAGGACCAGATAAGAGCTAGATCAGAGCCTCTAATCAAAGGTTTCAGTGCATACTTTTTGAATGGAGCAAATGAAAGGGGAGGCTGGCAACCCATCATATGAATGGAGAGTCACTATTAGCCTGATTTTTCTTATTTTTCATTATATTCCATTTGTCAAAGGCATTTGCTATTGGGGGGGCTAATTAATCAGGACATAGCCCCATGTGAAATGTGTCCAAGGAAACCATCTCACTCCTGTGACCTTTAAATGGAAATATTTCTATGTTCTTCCCATATTATCCCCTCTTTTCAAAAACCAACAAAATCACTGCCAATGAGCTGCAGTGACAATTTCACAGACTAACCTTCAGAATAGTACATAAACTGTCTCTAAACGACTTGCAGCCAGGCTCATCTCTTCACTGTCTCCTAAAGGAAGCATGCGGTCTTACCACTGAACCTCCGCTCAGATCACTCTCCTGACTTCTCCCTTTTCCCAGCCACCCCTCTGGGTCTTACTCATTGTTGTTTCACATCCACACCAAGTCTCGTGAATCACTCCCTAGGTTCTGCTGTTTACTCTCACCTCTACATTTCCGTATTGTTAGAGTTTGTTACACTCACATGACATTTCATATATGTGCTCATGTACACAAACATGTGTACACACAAACATATATATACTTAAGTCCCTTGTCAGCCACAAATCATATACAAATATATTATTTAATATATCTTTCTGTATCCTTAACCCTTGGCAAGGCACCCTTTACAAACTAAGTCCATAATCAGTCTTGCCCATGAAGGCACTGGACCACAGCTACAAGAATTTGCTGAGGCCTCTTCAGTGTTTTTTCCAATCCTTGATAAGCCACTTCAATTCAGATCCTGCCTCCTTCACTTACTGTTCGACCCAAGGCAAGTTGTTTCACTACTACTTCAGGCCCCAGTTTCCTCACAGTGGTATAACAGTAGCAATCTCACAGAGGCAGTAAACTGTGAACAGCAAATCCCCCGAGGCCCTTAGTACAGTGGCTGCCACACAACAGACATTTAAGAAAAGGCTTTCTCACCAATAAAAATTACATCAACGCTATCTGTATCTTTGTACCACTGAAAAATACTTTTAATAATTACTTCTATGAAAACCATCGCCAGGAATGGGACTGCAGTGTTAAAAATATATAAACAAGGACCTACATTTGAATTCTTCATCTCTTCACGTAAATCCACTAAGGATACAAGTGGTAAATATTCAGATAAGGACTATTCATGAAATGCCATTCCATTAAAGTAATTATCTTGGCTAGGCATGGTGGCTCATGCTTGTAATCCCAGCACTTTGAGAAGCTGAGCAGGAGGACTGTTTGAGCCCAGGAGTTCGAGAGCAGCCTGGGCAACATAGTGAGACCGTCTCTCTACAGAAAAAATTAAAAATTAGGCAGGCGTGGTGGCACACACCTGTAGGCCCAACTACTTGGGATGCTGAAGGGGGACGATTTCTTGAGCCCAGGAGGTTGAGGCTGTAGTGAGCTATGATCGTGCCACTGCACTCCAGCCTGGGCAACAGAACAAGACCCCATCTCAAAAAATCATCGTCATCATCATCATCATCATAAGAAAAACAAACTCTTACTCTGGAGGAGTGTAGAAGAAATATTAATGGTAGTTAATGTATTAAAGGCAATGTGGACCTTGGTGTTGTTTTTAAAGAAAAGATATTATTTGAAAATAAACCGTTGCAATGGGAATATGTAAACTATGGGCATATTCAGGAAAGTAAAAGAAGACAAAAAAATTTTAAGGAAAAAATGAGCGGGATTATATAATTATTTTGAAAAGATCATCCTTGGTTACAAAGATCAATAGCAAGGGTGAATCTTGGTTTCTGTCTTATGACTCTCTCTCCACTGGACAGCTCTCCACCTCCATCACAAAGCACCTGTTCCTGAAAGGACAGGTTCTTCTCTCATTCCCTAGCACACCTGATCTTTATATAGGGCTGTGCTCAACTCATGTTCTTTCACTTCCCCTCCACCTGGAGCAACCTTTCCTTACCCTGAGGACCAACTCTGGACATTGCCTAAAGTCCAGTTTAAATTTGTCCCTTCCTCCAAACCCTAAGTTAGTACTCCACCTCTTTCTTTAAAAACTCATTTACTTGCTATGTCATTTCTTACTCGAGTTAATAGCATTAACTTGGACCTTCTTAAAAATCAGAAAGTATTTTCTCTTGCATCTGAAATAACACAGCCTTTGTCTTCATAGATCTGATGTGCACATATGTGCCTATATGGCATTGTTAAATTTAGCTAGCTCTGTAGCCGCACTGACAGAAACCTATCTTAACCGAAGGCACACCACATTCTAATTTTAGAAGACAATACAAACCAGGTCTCTACTGCATCAATAGCAACAGTTTCCCTCTAGCCAAGCTGACAAATACATGGTAATACAGAATCCCATAGCTGATATGACTCAAGGGGTATGTTATGACATAAAATGTTTAACAATCAATTTTGAATAATTAAAAAGTAAAGTATGACTACAAGGAGGAAAATGTGTGTCAACATTAGAATTTGGTTAAAAAAAAAAAAAAAAAAAAAACCAACCTTGTATTTTAGAACGCAGTGTTTGTCTTTTTTTTTCTTGAGATTGAGTCTTGCTCTGTCACCCAGGCTGGAGTGCAGTGGCATGATCTCAGCTCACTGCAACCTCTGCCTCCCAGGTTCAAGCAATTCTCATGCCTCAGCCTCTCAAGTAGCTGTGATTACAGGTGTGCACCACCACACCCAGCTAGTTTTTGTTGTTGGTGTTGTTTTTTAGTAGAGACAGAGTTTCACCATGTTGGCCAGGCTGGTCTCGAACTCCTGACTTCAAGTGATCCTCCCACCTTTGTCTCCCAAAGTGCTGGGATTATAGGCATGAGCCACTGTGCCCAGCTGAACACAGTGTTTTTCATTTTTTTCTTTAATCATGCCCATTTACAATGTGTTTTAAATTTCCTGAAATCTCATTTTTTTTCTTCCAAGATTAACCAATCCTTTTGCCAAGTGGTATCAGATAAGATTAATATGTCTGTCTTATTATCGGGAGATTAAAAAGAAGAAACTAAAATCTGCATTTGGATACAGAAGACATATACTAATTAAACAAAGCTACCAGAATAAATCATTTTCATAGAGCATGAATTTATATACTTTTTCTTTTTCAAAAAAAAAAACAACCTGTGCTATTAAAATGCAAGATACTGTAAAGGTTCAAATTCTAAAAATGAGGAATCATAATATGATAACAGAGTGTATCAAAGTTTAAAAGGCAGCAGGCTTTATTCTAGTATGGCATGTCAGCACAAAGCCACAAGGTTATCATATTATAACATGGAGAGCAGTCGGATTGCCCTGCCAGCATGCACTGTGAACTCGCTTGGATGTCGTTTTCACCCGAGACTTATGAGATTTTCCGGTTTGAAGCCTCATCATCAGTATGTAAACTGAAGCTGCTCCAGAGGCAAGAGGGGAGAAGCAGCTCTAGTGGCAATGGAACTGAAAATACTCAGGCAGAGAAACCAATCTGGTGGTGGCATGAGAGATTAATGAAACCAGAGAAGAAGGAGACAGCAGGATGAGAAAGGACAAAGTAGAAGAGGAGAAGACAATCAGAAATGAGATGGCTAAAAGAAAAGGGAGGATGGTAAAAAGAAAGCCAAAAGTGAAGGCAGCGTGTGGAGAAGAGAAAGAAAGGGGAGAGAAGGAGGAAAAGAAAAAAATGTAAACAATGTTTGGGTATATGAAAAGCAACATGTACCATATGCCTGTACTTCTGATTGCTGTTTTTATGTCACAGATGCTATATCCAATGACCAAATACAGAATTAGAATCCAGACATAAATCCATGAACCACAAGAGCTGGAAAACTATTGATATACATTGTTTAAAAAACAAAACAAAAATCTAAGCTTCAGGTCCTTAAGTGGCATGAAAGTTACTGCCTTATCAGCTTTCTTGGGCTACTAGAAACCATAAAGCAGAATCAAAGGAAATTTAAATGTTCTGTTCTTGAGCTTGAAAATATTAAAACACAAAACAGAAGAATGTGGTATTGGTTTCTTAGCTGGTCATCTTCAAGCACACCTGCCAACCAGAAACATCATATATATAATGCCTATGTTTTTCCAGATACAATTTCCCTATCTGCATGCTTTTGGTCTGACTTTCCAATTTGAAATTAATTCTAGCAAGATCCACTTTGAAGCAAAACTGTGAAGCAAAACAGGCTGGCCTTGGATGTCCCTCGACCTCCAGCATCCAGGGTTACATCCCTCCCTGAACCTGGGAAGTTTCCCAGATTTTCCCGATTCTTCTGCTCTACTGGAAAAAATACTTTAAAAAGTAAGCATACTGAATTATTAACCAGAAAAACAAATCCTTACTAAGGTGGTAGCTTGGCAATACATGATACTTTCTAAGTGTCCAATGATAGAAAACCAAATTAAAATGTACTTTGTAAATTAAATCCCTTACAAATAATTACAGTTAAACTAGTGGTGAGAATTTCCATTCCAGTACCAAGGTGATCAGGAAATTCATCCTGAATTTCCAAGGTGATCAGGAAATTCTTCAGACAATTAGCCTTTCTTTATATATCTGCCAAATCAGCCCATATATTCCTGCCCACATGTGAAGCTGATGCAGATTAGCAGGTTGCACAACCTTTGGCCTACTGCAAATATAATAAGGTGAATTGAAACACTGCTCTTAATATTGAATCAATTCATTCCAAACCCATTAACATTTTTTTCCAGTTCTAAACAAGGAAAATCTAAATGATTTACTGGAGGTATCATACTCAAATATCAAATCCTTCAGCAGAACTTAACTTCATTACAGAGAAATGTTTAACTTTCCATGACCAAAAACCAAGTCAAAGGGACAAGAGGTAATTAGACAACCAAATCCAAAGGTCTGAAAGCCACATATTCACTGGCTGCAATCTGACATATGGATTCTACAACAATGACTGAATACCCGGAGTGATCGTAAACACTTAGAGAAATAATGTCCTCTTGCCAGATCATGCCTGAAATAAGATAGAAACACTTTAAGCTAGAAAGAGTAAGTAAGGGGGTAGTGTAGAAAAAAATGAAAGGAAAGAATAAGCAACATTTTGGAATGAAGGTCTTATTAATAAAATTTTATGTTAAAATCATGAACCACAGAAACCGTTACAAACTTGTTCTAGATGATATCTCTGTCCTCATAGGCAGGAGTTTGATTTATCCACCAACATACAATTAGTATTAAGTGTTACGCCTGACAAATAAGAAGCACAAAAATATTTTTCAGTGAATGAATGATTGTAGGTATGAGTGAATGAACAACCTCAGCAATATTAAACCCATTACTAGTACAGGTGGTCAGCACCAATCCTCCCTTAGCATGGTACTATTTTAGCCAGAAGAGATGAGAAAGGGAATACTTAGGAGAAAATATAAGGTTGACAACTGGCCGGGTGTGGTGGCTGATGCCTGTAATCCCAACACTTTGGGAGGCCAAGGTGGGCAGATCACCTGAGGTCAGGAGTTCGAGACCAGCCTGGCCAACATTGTGAAACCCTGCCTCTACTAGAATTACAAAAAAAAATTAGCTGGGCATGGTGGCAGGTGCCTGTAATCCCAGCCAGTTGGGAGGCTGAGGCAGGAGAATCGCTTGAGCCTGGGAGGTGGAGGGTGCAGTGAGCCAAGATTGTGCCACTGCACTATAGCCTGGATAACAAGAGCGAGATTCCATCTCAAAAAAAAAAAAAAAGGTTGACAAGTGAAGCATATCTAATCAAAGGAACACTGGTTAATGGCATCTCACTAATAAAAATTATCACTACAGCATTCTGTACCTATGGCTAAGAAAACACCCACAGCACACAACCTGAGCTACCACTGGAGAAATGAAAGAGAGCGGAAGGACAAAGGGTAACAAAGGGCAGAGATCCCAGATCTCTAAGTGCTGCCTCTACCCTGGAAACAGTACCTCCATCAGGATGTCAACATTCCCCTGGTTTCAAAACCTTATCTGCCTATGAGACTATCCTGTTCTATCACTTGGCAGCAGAATTTTCCCACCTTCTATGCTGAATCAAGGTATGGTGTTTCCAGAAGCTATTTAAAGTTATCAAACATTGCCCAAGGGAAGATCCCATGAACTCCTAAAGAAACATTCATTTAGAGTCATTGCAAATGAAAGTGCTGTATGGCAATTTATGAGATACAGTGCCCAGAATCATCAAAAGAAGTAGGAGCCTGCTGTCCCAGTGCATCCTGCCAAAGTTGCCTCCTGATTAAACGAACTCACCGCAGTGCAGAATGTCTTCCAGAGCGGGAGACACTGTTGCCCACAGGTGAGGGCAGGTTGCTCCCTCTGTGCAGGTCCTCGATGGACCTACTCCAGGGCTTTGATTTGTCCACCGAGCTCTCCACAGTACTCTCCACACTTTCAAAGTCAAAACTAAAACAAAAGAGAAATGCCATTGAAGACTGAAAAATTCACATTCACATGTATAAACGAACATGTATAACTTGCTGTTCCTACAAGACATCTGCACCTTAGTATGGAAAGTCTTTGTAAACAAAGAAAACTGGAAAGGAAATATAATGGAATTTCTATGGGCTCAGTGTTAGCTTTAAGAATACAGAATGACAAATAATGGGTCTGGCAAAAGAATAATGGAACAATGAGCAGCAAAAATTAAATAGTGATATATTATTTGTATTTTATTTTATAAGGCTTGCTAATATATAAGTCACTAACATTGGTATGATGGAAGGGGGAAAAGATCTTACAGCTGTCTTCATTTTGCTTTAACAAGTCAATATGTTAGGCTTATACTAATTTATTCCTACCCATCAATTTTCACTGAGCATTTTCTCCTAGTGTGTTGGCAAGTGTACTTTTCCAAGCATATGTGATACATTACTAGCAAAGTTATGGATTTGCTTTGATTTTGGAATCTCCTCCCAGTGTGGTGCTCTTTAAAGTAAGACTGTTGTTTCTCTGACATTTTTTGAGGTTATTACTCATGTTAACCATGTTAGAATAAATGACAAGTTAACTTGCTCACTCTTGTATAGTTTTAGGAACAAAGTTTTTAAACAGACAGGCTTTTGTGCTCCATGCATTTCCCCCCTCACAAAGTAACTGTGCTTTCTCAAAAGAAAAAAAAAAAAAAGAAATTGTATTAATTGTTTCTATCCATAGCAACACCTGATCAGACAGTAGAACAATCAGAAGGTAGCTACACTTAATATCCTCAGGAAAATCTTAGAGGATACTGCAGAAGAAAAAACAATAATACATATTGGAAATCAAAGTGTAACTTTTTATAAAAGTATAACTGCCAAAATAAAATATTTGGTTAGAACCTTCATCTGAAAATTGGTGATGACTTTCACCTATAAAAGACTAATCAGATAGCAGAGATAGATGCACAAAGTCCATGGAGGCAACTGGTCACAATTCTGTCATGCCTTTGGCTGCAGGAGGTAATACTGAACATAAAAGAGTTAGAATGGGGTAATCTAATAAAATTTTAACTGCTAAAAAGAGAAAGCAATCACTGAGATGAGAGAAGGTAAGACGAGGAGGGCATCCTGAAATCACTCGTGGCATTGATGCCCTCGCTAGGCTACTCTACAGCTCCCACGCCATTCAGCGTGTGTTCCTCTCAGCTCATCCTCACTCTCACACAGCAGAAAAAGGAAACACACATAGAAATGAGTGCTTCTAGGTTGGGTGCGGTGGCTCACACCTGAAATCCCAACACTTTGGGGAGGCCGAGGCGGGTGGATCATCTGAAGTCAGGAGTTCGAGAGCAGCTTGCCCAACATGGTGAAACCCCGTCTCTACTGAAAATACAAAAATTAGCCGGGCATGGTGGTGGGTGCCTGTAATCCCAGCTTCTCAGGAGGCTGAGGCAGGAGAATCACTTGATCAGAGGTTGCAGTGAGCCGAGATCATGCCACTGCACTCCAGTTTTTACTCCCCTTCAGCTTATGGGCAGAAAATCAAAACAATACAAATGCATATCAAGGAAAAAGGAACAGCCTCCTGTTACCTCTCCCTCCAGTGCCACTACGTTTGGTATCTGTTTCTGCAATCATTTTCTATGCACTTACTAGCATATGCAAATATACATGCAGACATCATTTTTAAAAGAAAAAGGGAGTCACTCTTTTGCATCGCCTAGTGATTTATCACATACCTCTTTCACCAACTGTTAGACTATTCTTCCATATATGTAACTTAAGCCCTAAAGAAAGCGTTACTTTTGAAAATAAGGGCTCCTTTAAGAGTGATTTTTATTCACCTGTTTTACTTCTGCCTTAAAGGCATTTCTAATACCATTATGTGATTTGTTTTTAGTTACCCAAACAGAAACAAACCTCCCTAAGCCCTAGCACATCTGCTTCTGAGTTTCTGCCCTCTCTGTGGTGTATAATTTTACCACTGAGTAGCATCTGCTGTGACCACATAAAATTCAAATGCAAGCAAGCCAAGTTTTACTTACGTTACCGCGTACTGTGCAAATGAGAGATATTCCACTAGAACATCAAGACCTTTGTTTTCTTCATTCAGAAATTCTCTGACCCATCTGTTGGGGAAAAAAAAAAAAAAATCATTGGAGAAATTGATCACATGACCTGCCATGGAACGGACACAATGCAAAGTTTTGTTTTTTCCACCAGAAACTTTCATTGCCTGAAAGGACATAGGGAGGAAGGCCTAGACTACTTCACATGAGGCAGGAGCTTTTCAGATATGGTAACTAAGAAAACCACAACTTTTTAATGTGCAAAAATAAGGGCCAAAAAGTACACGTGGGCCATCTTTGCATTTTACTGCTTAGAGGATTTAAGATAATCTGTAAGAAACTTTCTTTAAAGAAGGCACTTGCTTAATGTACTTTTTCCACCACAATTGATCTACAGCCTGCTTGTGGAAGGAAGCAAGACTATGGACAATGAGGCAGATGGGGGACATGACAACATAACCACAAAAATCCAGGCGGGATTCCAAATCCAAGTTCAAGTCCTTGGCACACTAAGCTACAGAAACCACTAAACTAGCCAATGAGAGACCACTGTTTATGGGCTTCTAGAAATTCAATAGGGATAATGATTTGCTTAACTTTTTCCATGAATGTTAAAACCTTTTTAAAAAGCTGCAGGCACCGCATACTATCATCAAGGCCGGCACATGACAAATATCAGGTTTTTTAAAAAATTCATTTTTAAATAATACCTCCTTGCATTTGAATGGTGCTCCACAGTGCATGGAGAATGCTTATACATTCTTATTTGTTCTTCATAATAATCCTGATGGGAGGTCAAACAGAATCTTTAGGGAGATGGATGTAAAATGTCACCACCCCCTTTTACAGATTTCCTCCAGTGCATTCATCTTCAAACAACATATGGTACCTGATTAAACCTTCACTAAGTTTCAAACTCCAACAAATAATAAGTTAAAAGATCTACTACTATCGCTGAAATGCCACTTGAGGTACATCTGCCACCTGCATTCCACAATGGTTGCTTTCCTCCAGAAACACCAAGCTAAAAAGTCTGACCAGCTATGGACATGATAGTGACTATGGAAGCCAGTTTTGTTAGTTATTAAAATAACAGTAGGACAATTCTACCAAGTATCCCTTAAGCATGAGCAACCCCTTGAGGTCTTTGTCTTAAAAGGCAGAAAACAATCCCATGGAATCAGGATATTTGGTTTTTTGTTTGTTTGTTTTAATTTTTGGCAGGGGGAAGGGGTTCTTTGTTTCATCCTCAAGGTCATTCTTTCTTCTAGTCCTGTCATCTCCATGATGCAAACCCAGCCCAGGTCTGCAGGTAGTTCCAGGAGGCGGCAAAGTGGGAAAGTGGAAAGATTGCCTTGTGTTTTCCCCTCAAGCGCCTCAGAGAGGCAACTGCAAAACCTATGCACTTGGCATAGCTGCCTGTAAACATATAACATTTAATTTAAGAGAGACCTGGAGTGGCAACGGTGGCAAAGAAAATACCACCTGGTAGGCCTCACAAAGTGGCTTTGTTATGAGACCTAGACAAAACTAACAGGGCTGGCTACTGGTGGAGGCTGAAGTTTCATTTCAAAACAGCCACATACACAATCTCACAGCACCTACTAGATACTTATTTTTTATTTATTTTAAGTACTTTCTGTGGTGCTAGGTCTCAGGAGACACTGATCACGTTTAAATACTAGTAATTAGAAGCTTAGAAATAGTAAAAAGAATTTTTTCTTTTTTGTAACTGGCTGGAGACTTAAAGTCTGGAACTCAATATCAAAATCTGATGATTAGAAAATCTTTAAATTCAAGCCCCTTAGCCTTGCTTAGGCTTTTCCATTGGTGGCCTATGGGCTGTGATTGTACAATTTAAACTGGCCCTCGGTGGTGGGTGTCTTTTTAATATGAAAAATAATCACGGCGGGGGGAGGGGGGCAGATTTTTCAGGGCAGTCTCAGTTGTACATATTCTCAGTGGCCCATAAGAACACACTAATTTAGGAGCTAAGAGAAACAGCCATTGTCGTTTCTTCTGGTTGATTTTCCAGATGCAGCCTCTGTAGAGTGCAGACCATTCAGAATGCACTCAGTGCCTGCCCTTGTGTCAACTACTGGCAGGCACCTCCATCTCACTTGGAAAGTTCAGCCACCAATTGGACAAGAGGCAAGTGACCTACAGAAGAAAAACTAAATTTTTTTAAGGTAGGAAATAGCCAAGTACAGCCAGAGTTACAATTCGCTTAACATGCTAATATGCATACGTTTTAATGCAGGGATAAAGAATACTCATTGGCTCCTCTTACTTCACTTCAGAGTCCTTATCCATGCCCCCATCACCACTTCCTGACTTTGAGTGAAAGGGCCTCAAAGACAATTTTCTGAGTAAAAGGTAACAGCCTGCTGCCTACCTCCTAAAAGGTCAGCTAAAGTGTGACATGTTTTACCCCTGATTTAATTTCATGCAGTTAACATCTTTTTCAAAGCTACAAGATCCTCCCTGGGATTTGATCTAGTCCTGACACCCCCAGCTGCTTTAGGAAAGAATGAGATCAGTCTTTCAGGGCTGGCTACCTTCCCCACTTTATCAAATGGTATCAGGTTAGCTTAGCAAAGTCATTTCAGCAATAAGGGTATGGATGACATGAAAAAAGAGCCCCCATTTTTCTAACTATTATCTCAGTCCCTACCCCTTCTTGACTTGGAACTTTCTGTATTGGAGAGAACTGGCCATTTTCAATTGGAGTTGAAAGTGAACTTCTACAGAAATATAAGAGTAAGGAAAGAAAACAGGTAAAGATAAAAACGGGCAACTTTCAAAGCAGTAACTGGAATCTAAAGGCATTCAAAGAATATGGATGCCTCATTTTGCAGATTTATGTAAATGATCATGCAAGGACTATATCATATATTCAGGGTTCCCATAGCAAATTAGTTCCATTTCACCTCTGTGCATGCTACACACACTTTTTAATATGTTGCCAATAGGCAAACAGTTTCAAATTGGGTGATTATAGGTTTTGGAAAGTTGAATTATTTCTGACTCTGACAGAACGCATAACTTCCTGAGTGCCTCACGGATTCAATGTAATTACCATATGCTGTACATCTGAATTTAGGCAAATTCTAAATCAGATGCTTAGGAGCTGGAAAAGACAGGGACAATGACAAATAGCTCTGGAAGAAATTGGGTGCAAGGAAGAGATGTAAGTGCCAATGCCAACAGTCACTGTTTTATTGTAGGCTGGTCACAGCTTAATATCAAATCTTTGTTCTGTCTCCCCAAATCTTAGAACCTTATTTCTCCTCATATAGGTCTTAAGAGATGTTCCTGGCTTTCAATTTCTAAGATCAAGCCAAGTAGCCCAAAGTTGCACAACAGAAAGGAAAAAGCAGTTAATTCCTTTTGCCAGCCTCCTCTAGAGAGAGGTCCTACAGACATATGTTGGGAACTGAAGTTGATGAAAAATCATGAAAAGCAAGAGAAAGAAGCACTGTGTGGATTCAACACTGGTCATCAGATCTACTCTGTTAGGCAGTGTTGCAAACTGATTCTCAAAGTATAGCCCATATACCACTAGGGGTCCCTGAAACCCTCTCAGGGCGCCTGTGAAGGTAAAACTGTTTTCACAAAAATATTAGGACATTAGTTGTTTTCAATCTGTTGACACTGACACTTACAATGCCAAAGAAATACTGTATAAAACTGCTGCAACCAAAGAAGACACTTATTTATTGTATTTGTCACTCCGTGCACTCAGGAGGGGGAAAAGGCCAGCTTCACTTAAGAACGCCCTTAGATAAGCAATAAAAAATATTGATTTTATTAAAGCTTACTCATTTAGTACACATCTTTTTCATTTTCAGTGTGACAAAACAGGAAGCTCACATAAAGTACTTCTGCTACCTGCTCAAGTAGCACAGTTGTCTCAAGGAAAAGCACCTGTGAAATTGTTTGAGTTGCGAGCTGAACTAGCCATTTTTTCATGGAATGTCAATTTACTTGTAAAAATAACTGACAAACTATGGTGATTCAGTTTGGGGTATGTGGCAGACATTTACTCAAATATGAAGTGAGCCCATCCTTTCAAGGACAACACAGTATTTGTTGCTGATGACCAACTTTGAGCTTTCAAACAAAAACTAGAATTCTGGAAAACCTGTATTCACCACCGTCAGTTTGACAGCTTCTCAATACTTAACATATATTCTAATCAGACTGGTGGTTATTAACAAATGTGATTTTTAAAAACATTGTAAAGGGATATGCTTCAACAGTGGAGAAACATGATTTTACTGAGTTATTCTGATCTTCCAAATGACCAACATGATGTTAACAAATCATGTCACAAGTTCATGTATGGATAAAAAGACCCAATCAAAGTGTAAGACAGCACAAAGGATTTTTTGAGACAGGGTCTTACTTTGTTGCTGAGGCTGAAGTGCAGTGGCACAATCATGGCTTACTGTAGCCTCAACCTCCTGGGCTCAAGTGATCCTCCTACCTCAGCCTCCTGAGTAGCTGGGACTCCAGGATCATGCCACCACACCTGGTTAATTTTTGTATTTTTTATAGAGACAGGGGTTCACCATGTTACCCAGGCTGGTCTCAAACTCCCAGGCTCAAGCCATCCTGCCCACCTTGGCCTTCCAAAGTTGCTGGGACTGCAGGCCACAGCACCTGGCCAATGGATTTTAATATAACAGAGCACAAAAAGTTCACTGATATGATTTCAGACTCTACATTATAGCTATCTGTAAGAATTAGTTACTAGCCGTTCAATTTTGGGGGTACTACTAAAAAAAGAATATCCCAATTATCTGAAAAGACCATTTAAAAAACTCATCTCTAAGTGTGTATAAGACCCAATTTTCTACATATACATCAATCAAAACAGATCACGACAAATTGAATGTTGACTCAGGAGAATCTAGCTGCCAACTATTAACCAGATGCTAAGGAGATTTGCAAAAATTAAACCAATGCAGCCTTTGTCACCAATTTTTTTTTGGATTTGAAGAATATTTTTCATAAAACATGTCATTTAATTTATAATGTATTAATATTTATGTTAATACATAACATTTATTTTATATGTATTTAAATTAAATGTTATTAAATATTACATTTTATTAAAGACATTTAAAATTTATCAGTTTTAATTTCTAATATTATAAACATTAATAGATTTGACACATCTAAACAAAAGCTTATTGGGGTTCAAAAATAAGTTAAAAGTATAAAGGCACTCTAAAACCAAAAAAAAAAAAAAAATGTGAGAATTGCTGGTTTAGTAATAAATTTTAGAAGTGACCGTATCTAGGCTCAAATCTCGGTGCTTCTAACTTGTGTGGAATTGAGCAAGGTACTTAATAAATGACCCTCAGTATTCTCATCCATAAAACAGGGATTCAGGGCTAATGGTCAATAAGATTTTTGTAGGAAATACACAGAATAACAAACGTAAAGTACCTAACACCGTGCTTAATAAATGACAAAATGATTATAACCTTGATGGTTTCTAAAAAAGTACCATCTAGGAATAAGTTAATCATAAGGCAGCTTGATACACACATACACTCCCATACGTGTTGTATGCATGTTAAAAGCAGCCTTTGTCACTCTCCTGTCTTTCTTCTTTTGGCCTGGCTCAGCCAGCACTGATTCATAAAGAAGTCTGGTGGGCAGGAGAGAAGACATCAACTAAGCAGTTCCTCAGCATCTTCCCTTTTCTACAAACCTCCTTCCCCTCCTTGCCAACTTGCCACATTCCTTCTGCCATCTCATGCCTGTTCTCTCTACACCACAATGAGAAAGTGAAATGAGCATCTTTCAGAACTTCTGTGACCTTGCACTGAGGATGAAAAGTAATTTTCTATCATTATAGGTAGCTTTACTACAATAAATTCCCTGCAAGGAGAGACAGTGTACACATCAGTTCCATAGAATAAAGCTGGTAAATCTGTCCAGTTCACCCTCACCACCATTTAAATCCTATCACTCTGACATCTTAAGCACCATGGCATCTGCCTACTCACACTGCATGGCTAGTGTATTCTAACACTATGTGGATCATTTCAAGGGTATTTCAAGTAATTTCAAAAGCTTAGATAAGTCATAATCCAATTCTTCTCTATTATTATAGTTCCTAAGAGTAAGTGAATGGGATTATTTCTAGTCCAATTCTTATTTCAATTTGACTCAAAGAAAATTAATTTTCTTTCTCAGAAGATTGTTCCATTTATAGAGTTTTAGGCTTATATCAAAACTCAGAAGAAGTCCTTTGCTTGACAAAGCTGCAGCTCAGAATGTTATCTTGGGAAAGCTCAAGTCTTTAACGTTGAAAAGCAAGCATGTGCCCAGAACAATTTTTTTAGGACAAGTAGATTGTAAATGTAATCCCTCCTTTTTAATTTCTGGGTATCATAATCTCCTGGGTGTCAGGATCATTTTAGATAAAGATGATAATACTCTCTGCCTTAGGGAATTCCTTAGAGATATATATAAGAGATGTATATCCTTAGAGATATATAATACTGTTGAATACTGCAGGTAATTATTTGCAACAAGCATAACAAACAACTATCATATATTGAGTAACTATTATGTTTCAGACCCTTTATTAGGAATTTACAAGTTATGTCATCTAATCCTTATAATATTCCTGTGATGTAAGTATTATACTAATTTTATCAATGAGAATTTAACTTGGGTCACATAGTAAGTGCAGAAAACTTACATAACTTATCTAAGGTCAAATAACTAGAAAGGGGCATAGCAAAAATTTGAGCAAATGGGCACCGATTTTTTATTTTTAGAGACAGGGTCTCACTCTGTTACTCAGAGAGTGCAATGGCTGCTCACTGCAGCCTCGAACTCATGGGCTCAATTGATCCTTCTGCCTCAGTGTCCCAGGCATTACAGGTACGTGACATTGTGACTGGCTAATATTTTATTTTTTTGTAGACACAAGGTCTCACTATGTTACCCAAGCTGGTCTCAAACTCTTGGGCTCAAGTAATCGTCCTGCCTCGGCCTCCCAAAGTACTGGGAATACAGGCGTGGGTCACCACACTCACTGAATTATCTATCTATTACAGTATTTTAAACAGTACAATAAAATATATGGCTTCCTTAAATAGCACCTTGCATTCCAAGAATTCTTCATTTTAGTAACTGATTATTTTCATCATTATTGAGTAATTTTTCAGAAGATATCCCTATCAAGTGAGAGCAAGCCAGTTAGTTTACATAACAAAGAGTGAGTTCAGGTTTGGGTTTTCAGAACAGGCAAGATGGTCACAATCTGGTTGTGTGGTTTTACTTCACGTAAGTTTATGCTAGTGATTGGTTGCATATAATCAGACAATGCATCTCCATGAATTTTTCTGCTGCTAAAGCCAAAGCTTTCAGAGTTCCTCACATAGATGGTGGGCAAGGGAAAACTTCACCTGGTAAGGATGAAAGAAATCTAAGAATCTTTCAATATGCCTATAGTATCCTCAACAACAAACCACTCCAATTGCTTGCAGACTGCACTGGCTTCAACCCAACCAAGGTTCTTCTATTCAGCCAAGTTTGTGTTGGAAATGATCATCTTCCTTTTGTATTTGATGGTCAATTTCACATTACTTCGGCAATGCTTAAAGAAATGCTTTTTTTTTTTTTTTTCGGTGAGATGGAGTCTTGTTCTGTCACCCAGGCTGGAGTGCAGTGGAATGATCTCGGCTCACTTGCAACTTCCACCTCCCAGGTTCAAGTGATTCTCCTGCCTCAGCCTCCCAAGCAGCTGGGACTACAAGCACGCACCACCATGCCTGGCTAATTTTTTGTATTTTTAGTAGAGATGGGGTTTCACCATGTTGGCCAGGCTGGTGTCGAACTCCTGACCTCAGGTGATCCACCCACCTCAGCCTCTCAAAGTGCTAGGATTACAGACGTGAACCACCACGCACAGCCTAAGAAATGCTTTTTGACAATTTGTAGAAATCTTGGCTGCAGTTCATTCCACCATTTTCAGTTAAAAGGGCCAAAGGCAAAGGTTTGGACCAAACAAAATCGAATCTAGCTCCTGATTCATAAATATTAGAAAGTATTTAAATGTGCTGAGTCTAAATGCCCAAAAGTATTAAACTACTACCATGTTCATCCCCAGCAGACAAGCCTCATTGCTTTGATCCCAGATCCCTGATAATCTTATTTACTTTCAGGGAAACGGCTGCCAGCATAAGTCATACAGGAAAAACAACAGAGCAACTTGAGCCAAAGCACCTGGCTCTACAGCTGTAGACTTTGTGCAATTCACTCACCTTCTCTGGTCTTTAATTCTTTTAATCTGTAAAAGTAGGCATCAGGCAATTCTTAATTTCTCTTCCAGTTCTAAAATCATGACTCTATGATTCTTTGTTCTATAGCCCATTTCCAGGGACAAAGTCTAGAATTAATTCATTTTCTGAATATTTCATTCTCAAGGTGAAAAACCTGCTGGTTATCATTTAAGAAATGCACATTCTTACCCAAGTTCCATCACCTATCAATCACAATAGCATTTCTACAGTTTCTAAAAGTTTATTTTGAAATAACTATGCTAATTAACCATTTGAATGGCTTACAGCAGTCTGAAGTAAACTTTTATCTACATAATAAATCCACATCAAGTCCTTACTTAACCTCAAATAACATTATTTCATTATGACATTGATGAGGGGGGGAAAAGGTTTTATAACAACATTATTTCACTTAAACTCATGGTTTTCAAGAAGAACTATCAACGAGACAGAACTTACTGTATGTTACAGCATACTCTGTAAAACTAAAGTGCAATATATATACATCAAAATTAATTTCCAATAGACTTGCAAAGAATGTCATGGGAAAATTCTAAAAGATCTAAAAGTCGATAGTCCTCTCATTGTAAAGCTCAAAGAATCAAAACCAAAGGGGTTAAATAGCTTGCCCAATGTTACGCAGGTGCTTTGGGCAGAAGGAGGGCTACAAAATAGGATACCTGATATCATTCTACCTTAGAGAGAAGCCATCTTGTTTTAAGACATAGTACAATTAGGCCACCCAGGGGTAAGGGAGAATATAATATTGCTGTTCTTGCCTGAGGCAAAGCACCATGTCATTGTCTGAAAGAAACTCAGAATGCTTAGTGCATAGATTCCCTGAACTTTATTTTCCCACAGTGGATTTACACTTCATGGTCCTGAGGTTTTGAGATGTATGAAAAAGAGACTGAGAATGTGTCTGAGTGCAATGAGGTGAGTCAAGTGACATTATTCCAGCTTCCGTCCCCTTCTGGCCAGAAACTCTAGAGAATTAACGAAAGGGAAATAAAGCAGCTTCAACCAACCAACTTGGAGAACTACAGTAAAAGCTTAGAGATTTTCCAAGATCTCAGTCTACATGCACTATTGGGGGTTTCTGATTTGCCAGAGAATTGTTATGCACACATGAAACCAAGTGTCCATATTTACTGCACCCGCTCAAAGAAATATAGAATTGTTATAAATTCCACATCAAGGACTATCTGTCTTGCTTCTGCTGATTCTTGGGCAGTAAGTAATTTGAGTACTAACAAGGTTTCATCTACTAAAACCTCAGTCTTTTAATTTATAATGGCCCATAAGGAAGCTCAATTCTTTGGGTATGATTCAGTTACTTTGTAAAGTGTCCAAAAGCTTTAGAGCTAAGATGTTAAAGGGGTATACTTACCCAATGTGGTTAGTTCTCAAAGAAATTTCCAGTTCTCTTAGCACTTGTGTAGATTCTTGAACACGCCGTCTGAATTTCTATAATTCAAGAACACATATTCTCACAAAATATTTTAGCAACTGCTATAACTGAAGCTTAGTTATAATAAATTTAACACAATATGAAAAATATCTTCACTTCTAAAATGGGCTTCCCTCACTTTTTTTGTTGCAGAGCACACAAATTTTCCTCACCATGAAAATTAACTACTGAGAAAGGACTACAAAAAGTCCTTGTTTTATGTAATGTGCCTTTCAGTAAGTAGATTTTATTTCCCTACCCCACACACACAACAGTATTCACCAATATTCCTATGGGTCAGGGACCCCAGTACTACCTCCAGTTTCAATGATTCATTAGGAGCACTCAAAGGACTCAGCATACAGTCATACCCGTGGCTATGATGTATTACAGTAAAAGAATACAAAGCAAGATCAGCAAAGAGAAAAGGTGCATAGGATAAAACGTGCAGGAAACCAGGTGCAATCTTCCAGGAGTCCTCTCCCCGAGGAGACACAAATGACAACATGCATAAAGCTCATTAGAGACTCAGTGGCCAGGTTCTTATTGGGAGCTGGTTTAATAGGCAACTCTCTGCCTAGTACATTACACAAATTCAGACTCCCAGAGGGAAAAGAGGCATTCAGCATAAGCCGTATTGTTTTCATAAACTGTTTAGGCACAGCGAAACAGTCTTATCAGGAAATGGTAGGAACTTTCCCCCGTCAAACACAAGTTCCTAGATGCCAGCCAAGGGCCAACCTTGCAGGCAGGCCCTTTGCTAAGCATAGCAGTCTCAGGCCTGCTATGTTAATTTTTTTTCTGCGTGACCTAACACGTTGCAAAAATAAGCATGCAGAGCTACCTCTGCCCCTTATTCCTCACTTAGAGGGTCCTTCCTCCAGAGCACACCACCCTCCTGACATGAACTGCCCTTCCTCATTCCCTTGCCTGTTAAAATCCCACCTACCCTTCCAGGAATCCCTCGGGGCTTCTTTCTTCACTGAATCCACCTCTGATAGTAAATGTGTTAATATACACCTCTCTAGCCTCTTGACCCTAAATCATTTCCAAGATATCAATGGGCTACATTGCACATCAGTCCTTTGGAACACATTTTCCTACAGAAATATAAAGTGACAGTCTCAGGCCACTTTGAAGGAAGAAAACTTGATGTCAGCGCCTCCTAAGCGGAGTTCCAGACTATCTGTGCTACGAACCTGAACCACCTTTATGTCACACTGTTTACAGGAAAGAGCTTTGAGAATTCTGGCTCAGGATATAAAGGACCTCTCTCCTCTGCTGCCACAATTGCAGCAGACACAGAGTCCTTCAGCTCCAAGGACAAGAAGAAAAGGAAGGAGGATGGAAGTAAGGATTCCAGAATGTGGGGTGGCAAGAGCTACGCCCACACCTGGGACTTGGTGGCCCATGAAGGCCTGAAGCACGGCTCAGCACAGCAGGCTCCTGTTACCCTGTCATCTTCTTCTGAAAGCCCCTGGCTTCCCCACCAGCTGCTTCTAAGCAGAGCCCCCAAGGAAGCAGATGGTCTCACAGTTCCTCCATAAATGCCATTCCCAAGACAATCTAAAAAGACCATGTCAGGTTTCCAGAATCCAGGTATAGTAAGAAGTAGGAAATAAAAATGTCCCCAATGTGATGGAAAAAAGAGAGGCACTCCCCTCTTCTGTCGAAACAGGCCTAACAAATGGTGGCATACTTGAGAGTTTGGAGGACACCCAACCCCAGAGCTCCCTAGACCACTTCCCAGCAATGAGGAGGCTCGGCACAGTACTTGGCTTGAAAAGGGAGTAATGGCCAAGCTCAGTGGCTCACGCCTGTAATCCCAGCACTTTGAGAGGCCAAGGTGGGTGGATCACCTGAGGTCAGGAGTTCAGGACCAGCTTGGCCAACATGGAGAAACTCTGTCACTACTAAAAAGTACAAAAATTAGGCATGGTAGCACAAGCCTGTAATCCCAGCTACTCAGGAAGCTGAGGCACGAGAACTGTTTGCACCTGGGAGGCAGCGGTTGCAGCAAGCCGAAATCGGGCCACTGCACTCCATCCGGGGTGACAGAGCGAGACTCCATCTCAAAAAAAAAAAAAAAAAGAATGGGGGCAAGTAATGCAGGATGGGCAGCTAAAGGTATTCTCTCTCTTTAAACTCTTCCTTGGAGCTAAAAATTAGGAATAGAGTAGAGGAGAGTCAGTAGAATGGAGCAGGCAGTCTGCTGTGTATATAGAGAAGGGAAGAGAAAGGAGACAAAAAATTCTAGGGTCTCTGGTCACACAGCTAAGGCAACCATTTCCAGATATGCTGGCTGCTCAGTGTGGCCACTCCCGTGTCAGAGTCCTAAGTCTCGGGCTGCCTGCACAGGTGGTTGTCAGAAAATAACTCAGCCTTCCAAGCTCTGTGTTATGTGCACTTCTGACTCATTCCCTGCAGCCTTTGCTTCTGCTGGGCCCCTGATATACTTTGGATATTTGTCCCTTCCAAATCCCACGTTGAAATAGGACCTCCAATGTTGGAGGTGGGCCTAGTGGGAGGTATTTGGGTCATGGGGGCAGATAGCGCCTGAACTGCTTGGTGCTGTCCTCGTGATAATAAGTGGCTTCTTACTCCTAAGAGTTCCTGTGAGATCTGGCTGTTTAAGAGAGGCTGGTACCTCCTCCCTCTTGCTCACCATGTGACACACCCGCTCCCCCTTAGCCTTCCGCCATGATTGTAAACCCCGAGGCCCTCACTAGAAGCAAATGCCAGCACCACACTTCCTGTACAGCCTAAAGAACTGTAGGCCAAAATAAACCTGTTTTCCTCATAAATTACCTAGCCTTAAGTATTTCTTTATAGCAACACAAAGGAACTAACACCCAGCCCCTAATGCCGCCTTCTGCTTCCTCGGGGCAAGGTCATCCCTTACGTATGCCATCAGGCACAAGGGCACCCAGCGTAGCACTGAGGACATAGCAGAGTATAAAAGAGGGTCCACTGAAGGACTAAGAGCTATGTATCGAAACCAGGTAACTAAATCAAAACACGATGAGGTAATAATAACAGCAGCAGCGCTGTTTTTGGGCACTGACTATGCTACCTAGGCACTACCCTTCTGCAACTGCCTGATAACGGAGGCAAACTAAACTGACTTTACTCCTGTATTACATTATCTAAGGAACGGCTCAATTTTCGGCTAGATTCTGGGCCACAGAGAAGTCTTGGAGTCCACTTCTCTAATATATACACAATGAGTGCTAACACTTTGCACTTCTAAAATCTATCCAGAATGCAAAACACTATGAAAAGAAATTATGTGCCCATGGGGAGCCACAGAGGATCCATGAGCAGTCTGTACTATTCTCCCTTCCCTCCCCATCAAGGGAGGCCTGGGATGAGCCCCCAGAGGCAGCTGAGCCCAGGATGAGCCCTACAATAGGTTTCATCTCACAACTGCAGCGCCAGCAAAGGACCAGAATCCTTTAAACACAGACTAATCACTTCCTGGTATTAAATAAGGAGGCTGGTTTGGAGAGTTCTGTTCATAGAGATATCTAATTTAGGCTCTTCCTTTTCTGCCCGAGAGGTTTCATTTAAAACTATTTAGAAGAAAATCTAAATAGAAAATGCTTAAAATTTTTTTTTAAAAAAAGCAAATTAAGTATCTTCTATTCAATTTGCACAAAAGATTAACGAATCAAGTATTCGAGGACTCCAGACACAGTTAAAGGAAAACTGCCCAACCTAGACTGTCTGGCTGAAATTTAAAGCCCCGAATTGAAATCTTTTTCTCCCCCACCATAATACAGCTGAGAATTTTAAGCTCATTTTAACTGCAAGCCATGTCTTATTTCAACAAATCTCCTTTTTTTCCAGGCTTTAAGCATTACAATTATGTTGTGTGGAACAGATCATTTCCTCCTGCCAGCTCCTGACAGAATCTTACTAAAGCAGGGGTGGTTAATCCACCATCCATTTTATTTTTTCTGAGCTGAATGACTGATCTTGAAAGATGAAGCACAGACCAAACATGGCCATTCAGGTGAACGCACATGGGCCAGGGCAGAAATGTCGGGAATGAAGGCCCAAACAGACATCTTATGTCCTGCTCCAGTTTATTATTTGTGAGGAAGCAAAACATTTTCTGGGAAGCTTATCTGTTGTTTTGTTTCACTTTGTTCTCTTTGCCTAAACCCAGAAACAGCTGATCTAAAGGAAAATTGGAACTGTGCCAGGAGGAAGCCCACCTCTTCCTTCTAAGCATCTTCCTCCATGTGGGGTATGGAAGTGGGGGCCTAAGCAGCACTCCCTAGGAGTGTGCATATTTTTTCCTTTCTATTCAGAACTGGAAAAATGTGGAAGGAATTTTTTGGAGGTAGGATGAATTCTGCATGAGGAAAGGTCTCAGTCTTCTGTATAAACATCAGCATCTCTGCCACACTCAACTCAGGGTGAGCATTAGGACTCAATGCTGAGGTCTGAGCCATCTAGCCTGAAGGTTACAAGTTTGGAGATTTCAGAAAACCTTTAGAAATCGATTCTAAAACAGAATCTTGCTGTCCCTTTGCAAAGAAATAGTGCAGAAAAACACCTGTCTGGGGATGTATTTTGTGTATATGGGTGTGTCTGTATTTATTTATTTATTTTTCTTTTTGAGACACAGTTTTTTGCTCTTTTTGCCCAGGCTGGAGTGCAATGGCACAATCTCAGCTCACTGCAACCTCCGCCTCCTGGGTTCAAGCGATTCTCCTACCTCAGCCTCCCGAGTAGCTGGGATTACAGGTGCCTGCCACCATGCCTGGCTCATTTTTGTAGTTTTAGTAGAGACAGGGTTTCACCATGTTGGTCTTGAACTCCTGACCTCAGGTGATCCACCCACCTTAGCTTCCCAAAGTGCTGGGATTACAGACGTGAGCCACTGTGCCAGGCCTGGGTGTATCCTCCTTTACAGACCTCTTTAAATGATGAAATTAAGACTGCCACATTCTTAGGGAAAGGGAGAAATGAGAGAAGTTAACAAGAACTGAACAATAGTCTCATTTGCAGGTGTAAGACCTGACAACAGGTCTTTTAGAAAGAAATGTGTGTGCCACATTTACGAGGGGAGAAGTATCATGATACTTTGACAGGTACGTTCCTGGATTGAAGGTTGTGTCACATTCAAGTCACATATGACATACAGCCAGTGATGAAGTTCTGCACTACACTGTCATCATCACTACTAGATTTTATTTCCCCTTGTCTACATATTAACCGTAAGAGAAAGGCCTAGGAAACTTCCAAAAGGAAATAATAGCTGTTCTCCTTTGCTGGACTTTTTTTTTTTTTTTTTTTTGGTCGGGGGGTGGGCGGTGAGGGGAGGAAGAGTTAGAGTAGAAGATAAAGAAAAAGATTTTTTTTTTAATGCAAGCATCAAGAGCCCTGAAAATGGCTAACTAGGTAAAGTATACCATTCTTTTCTCAAGAATCACACACTGAAACAACAGAGAGAATCAGCCTGAGAGATTTTCGCAGGAGCCTTAAAAGCAGGAGTTGTAGGTCAATGGAAAAACAAATGCTATCTGGTAAAGCACCCCTTCACCCATCTTGAGCAAGGACAGCTCTGCCCTGAGACATCCCAGGACTGATTCAGGCCCACAGGGCCGTGCCAGGCTACATGCTTTACCACGAGGCATCAGTTTAAACCAATTGTGTGGCTGCACAAAGCAGGGCTTGTTTGTAAAAGGGGAGAGTCTGTTGAGAATGGAATCAGCTATTCTCTACTTACCTTCTCAGGCCAGGGGCAGGGGTTGGGGGGAGTAGGGGGGAGCTGCTAAAAGCATCAACACAGGATGTGAGTGCACAGCTGGGATGACAAAGGCCCAGTGATTTTTCAAGGTCTCTGGAAATGCACCAAGGCATAAAAAACTGAAAGGCAAGTATTCCCTTTGCAAAGCCTGCTCTTCTAGGGGCCTGAATACCTCTGGAATGCACTCACTGCCCTACGTAATTGGAAATAGCAGTGACTCAACAACCATCAGAGGTACGTGACTCTCATGTCAGGAAAGAACTTTTATACACATCTTCAAGTGAGAAGGTTGTTTTTTTTCCTTTGTCTTCTTACGTTGTTGGTCTCCCAAGGTTGTTTTTTGTGGAGGCTCTGGCAGAGGCTCTAATGCAGAGGAAGGAAGGTCTCTTCCAATGCAGGAGGATTCTGCTCGCTAATAAGGAAGCAATAACAAAGAGTGGAAACAAATCCATCTTACCTTCCTGGTTACAGCTGGATCCAGATAGCCTTTGAGCTTTTGAATGTATGTATGGGGAGGATTCTTCACCTGGAATCGTTCCTGCAGAAAGCACAAAAGTCCAAAGCATGAAAGGTATGAAGCCATGACACAGTCAGCCACATCAGATTATGTTACCAAAATATGACCAAAATGCATCCACAGTATAAATGTGGCCCTGCGAGCAGTCATTTTGTACTAACTGTTTTGCATCTTGGTAGTAGATGTGATCCCCTCTTTGCATAGGAGGAAAACTGAAGCTCAGAGAAATGCAGAACTCTCTTTGATGACACTGCTGGTCACATGTACATGTGGGTTTGAACCCACATCTGCTCAACTCCAGAGTCAGTACTGCTTTCTCTGTAGGGCCCTGCAGCTTCCATTCTAGGAATGGTGTTTTGCCCAACCTGTTTCAGGTCCTCCTTCAGCAGGTCTTCAATCTTTTGCATATTCTTTTGAATATCTTCAATGTTGGCAAATCTTTCTCTTTTGGATATTTATTTTATCTTTGAAAATAACAAAAGATTTGACTCAAACTGATAAAGCTAATTTTTTTCAAATATGAGCAACGAGTCAATTGCTGGAATGTGGGAGTGTTATGTTTGCATGGGTACACATGTGTGTGCCGACATGAATGGATTCCAACCTGGAAGATCCAAAAGTATCCTGAGCAAAGGCAGTCACTGGAATAAGCATAAACATACACAATATACAGTCCAAGGTGATATCTGAATGTAGGTCAGAGGTGGGGCCCAAGAATCAACATTTCTAACACGTTTTATGCTAATGCTGCCAAAAGAGGAACCATACTTTGAAAAATTCATGCCACGTGTATCAGGTTTTATAGACCCTAATGTCCAAAGCAGAACAGGCAACAGTAAAAACCTGGGTAGAAGCCACATGTCCACAAACCATAAAATGAACCAGTACTTATATTTACGTTCATACAATGGTATACTAGATTACAATGAAAACAAGCCATGTACTGCATGCTCCTATGAATGGATCTCACAAACCTGATGCTGAGCCAAGAAGAACACCTGATTTCATTTCTTCACACTTATAAAATAGGTGACATTAAACTTTAATGGTTACAGATACACACTCAAGGGGTAACACTATACATATAGATATATGGTTTTATATTGTGTGTATATATGCGTACTTGGAGATGATCAGCCTGAAAGTCATGGTTGGAGGACTGAAGTGGGGAAAGTCATAATCAAAGGGGGAAATATGGCACATTCCTAAGAGGCCAGCAGTTCTATTTCTTGATCTGAGTAGCAGTTACAAAGGTGCTGGCTTTATACTACTTACTATGCTGGTTCTCGGGCTTAACTACCTTTTCTATATAGATGCTATATTTCTCACAAAAAAAAGTTTAAATCAGCTCTAAAGGAAAAATAAAGATTCATCAAGAAATGAGGACAAGCCTGGGTAACATGGTGAAACCCCATCTCTACAAAAAATACAAAAAATTAGCTGGGTGTGGTGGCACATGCCTGTAGTCCCAGCTATCCAGGAGACTGAGGTGGAAGAACCACCTGAGCCTGGGAGGTTAAGGCTGCAGTGAGCCCTGATCGTGCCACTGCACTCCAGCCTGGGTAACAGAGCGAGACCCTGTCTAAAACAAAAAAAAGAAAAGAAAAGAAAAAAAGAAATGAGGATAATCTTTATCATGTTCTTTTCTACGTACAACCCAAAAGGTATTTTCTTACTTTAATTCTTTATAATCTGATTATCACTTACTCCACAACGGAATTTTTTGGTATTTCACTCTGACAATTGGCCAGCATGTGCATGCATTTGTTTATCCCATAGAAACTTGTATTTCTCCAACACAGGGAACCACAACATTCTGCATGGTCCACTGAAGCCTTGCTTGCTTGTAGATTTTAAAATGCTAAAGGCCACTGTAATAATACTGAAAAGATAATCTTATTATTATTATTAATTTTTAATTATACTTTAAGTTTTAGGGTACATGTGCACATTGTGCAGGTTAGTTACATATGTATACGTGTGCCATGCTGGTGCGCTGCACCCACTAACTCGTCATCTAGCATTAGGTATATCTCCCAATGCTATCCCTCCCCCCTCCCCCCACCCCACCACAGTCCCCAGAGTGTGATATTCCCCTTCCTGTGTCCATGTGATCTCATTGTTCAATTCCCACCTATGAGATAATCTTATTATTTAAAATCTATATTTGTTATTGTTTATCCTTGAAAATAGGGGGAATGGTTTGTAGTAGGACACCTATTAATATTTTCCCTTTATTTAAAAATAATCAGGGTGAATTTTGTAGTATATGAACTCTATCTCAATCAAGCTGCTTTTAAAAAAAGAACAGCACACTTTTTCTAATTATTCCTTCAAATGTTCTATCTCGAGAGCAATTTCTAAGTAATCACAACTATTCAACATCTCTAGTGCCATCACTGTGTCTGTGTATAAACTACTTTTTTTAAATCACCATCACCTCACCAAGGAATCAGAGGGGATCCTATTGCCATGGGGATTTAGCAGTAGTCCAGCTGAGGGCTAAAATAATCACAAGAAGCTCAGAAAAATGAACTGATGAGCTATCTAGAAGCCAGTCATTATTTCCAACCTCATGTATGACAACAGCTGATGCCAAACACATATCAGAATATAAATAAATATTATCCTTTTAAATAATATAATTCCAATTATTCAAAAAAAATTTTTTTGAGAGAGTCTCACTCTGTCACCCAGGCTGGAATGCAGTGGCACAATCACAGCTCACTGCAGCCTCGACTTCCCAGGTTCAAGCAATCCTCCTAATTCCACCTCCTAAGAAGTTGGATCTATAGGTGCAGGCAACCACGCCCAGCTAATTTTCTAAAGACAAGGTCTCACCATGTTGCCCAGGCTGGTATTGAACTCCTGGGCTCAATTTTATTTTTACAATAATAAAATTTGGTGGAGTAGCACATGTAACGCAGTAGCATTCACTCATTTAGTGAGCCCTATCTTTGACAGTCAGTAAAGGCAGCTTTTTTTCATTTCCTATTTGGGACTGTGGCGACTCAGAAGGCTTACTCAAATACATACATTTGCTGGTCCTGTTGACTGGACTATATTTCCTTAGGACTTGAAATTATGAACAAGGTCTACATGTAATAAACTCACACTTTTTCAAATATGCTTATTTAGCATTTGTCGTTGTATTCCACATATTCTTCATTTGTTTGAGCAGCTTACTGATGTATTAAGAAAGAGAAAATAAGGAAGCCTCATGCTTTAAAACACAGTTGGTCCACATTGCATCCACTTCTAAGAAAACTCAGGTGGGGCCATTTGCCTTGGCATAGTCTGCCCATCTCCTCTTTCTACCTCCACTGCTGCCATGGAACCCGTGAAAAAGCTTGTGGCAAATGGGGAGAAGGAAGACAGAAAAAGAAGGTTCTGAAGTTCACTCTTGATTCCACCCACCCTCTAGAAGATGGAGTCATGGAAGCTGCCAATTTTGAGTGCTTTTTGCAAGAGGATCAAAATGAACAGAAAAGCTGGGAATCTCAATGGAGGGGTGGTAACTATCAAAAGGAGCAAGATCACCAAGACTTTGGAGGTGCCTTTTCAATTCATTTTGATAGCTCATCATGACTAAAGAATAACATTTCTACACAGTGCAACTCAAGTTGGTAACTTAATAAAGGTACTTATATCATTGATGTCAAGCAAGCAGGCAACGAGGTCCTGAAAATAACATGGGATATGAAGCAGTTTTAAAAGTGTGGGTAATGGAAGACTGCCAACCAAAGCAGTTTCGACTTTTAATACAATATCTAAAATTCTAATATTTAGAGGGAAAAATATATTAATTCAAATAAATAGGATGCCCATAATCCATCTGAAGTCCTTCAAAATAAATGTGTTTGGCAAGGTGCTGAAATTTTCTTATGTATTTTCCCAATGTTTCTGTTGTTCAAATTGGCCACATTGAAACAGAGAGAAAAGGTTTGGCAAATCAGGTGCTGAATTTATAACTCAAACAGTGGTTCCTTTAGATATTAGACAGGCAACCCCAAGTTTTACAAAAACAGTTGGGGCTTTGTATTCTTCCTCCATAACACTTTTATTTGGGTCCCTGGATGTAGGCCGAGTTTTCTTTTCTCTTCTCCCTCTCCCTCTCTCCTTCTTTCATGGTTCCCATGAAAGTTTTATATGAGTTTTATTTAAGAACTCATAAAAATACAGCTGGGTGCAGTGGCTCACGCCTGTAATCCCAGCACTTTGGGAGGCTGAGGCAGGTGGATCACCTGTGGTCAGGAGATTGAGACCAGCCTGGCCAACGTGGTGAAACCCCACCTCTACTAAAAATACAAAAATTAGTCAGGCGTGGTGGCGCGTGCCTGTAATCCCAGCTACTTGGGAGGCTGAGACAGGAGGATTACTTGAACCCAGGAGGTGGGGCTTGCAGTGAACTGAGATCATGCCACTGCAGTCCAGTCTGGGCGACAGAGTCTCCATCTCAAAAAACAAACAAACAAAAAAAAAAAACCTCATATAAAATATTCCAGATAATGAATTTTAATCCTCCTCTTCCTCTTCCCTGAACTGGTTAATTTAGAAGTAATGTAATTCGTAACTCCTTGCCTTTAGCAGCTACGTGCAATCCATCATGTAGATGATTCTTCAAATATCTTTTAGTGAGATATTTCAAATACAATTAACTTTTCATGTGGGGCAGTACTTTTTGTTTCTCTGATTTTTAACTTATCTTTCAGTGATACTTCACAGTTTATCACATTCTTTAGACCTCTTAGCTCACTCAAGCTTCTATATCTGGCAAGTAGATATTATCTCCATTTTGCAGATGAGGGAACTGAGGCTTAAAGATTAAATGACTTACCTGAAATCATATACTGTGTGTGTGTGTGTGTATGTGTAAGGTCTCTGATGTATTTTCCCAATGTTTCTGTTGTTCAAACACAGTTTTCTGACTTTTTCTGATGCTTGTTCATTTTACTACACTATAATAAGCATGCTCATCTTGAATTTAATAGTATAAACATTTTTTAAAGGGTGGAAACATGTTCTATTCTTCATTGAGTCCCAGTATGTAAAAGAATACTTGGCACACAGTTGATCTTCAACAATGTTCAAAGAATTAAACTTTTTAAAAATGTCACATACAAGTCACTTCTTTCATAAATTAAGGGTAACTTTTAAATGTAAAAGTAAACAAAGAGACTATAAGCACACTCTACAGGATGTACCCCAGCAGGTTCAGTAGACATAAGTTAGTCAAGCTCACGTCAGAGCCAAAGAACATTTGCTGATGAGCCGCAGCTGTGTCTCTCGTAGATCTAAAGCCGTCTAATGCCTTTCATAACCATACGTTTCCTCATTAACCCAATCCCCTAAGGCGTATGTTAGCTTCCTCTTTCCCTACTGGTTGCCTGGAACGTTAGGCTGCCTATACACATACCTGCCTTGCAGACAAGGAAAAAACAAAACACTTATTGGACTCCACTTAATGACCAAGTCTACTGCAACCCAAGGTGGGAAACTAGACCATTGTGAAAAGAACTAAGTGACGGGCTGTGACAGGGGTGTAGTAAATTAATTAGGTAAGTCACAGCAAACAGAATTCATCAGCTATGCTACAACATAGCCTTTTCTACTAGACACAGGCAGGCAGACTTAAGTTCTTTCTAACAAGCTGAACTGTTTCTTTGGTTCGTCCTCTCCCTACATGTCCTCCTCCTCTTTCTCCACTTAAATCTAATAGAGTTTGTCATTGAAAGCCTTTCTGTGTAAAGGTTTGAAATTTGGACATTCCACTCATCTAGCTTAGCATTTCTGATCTTTTACATCCTCTCTATCCAATTACATGAGAAATTAATTGGGGTTAATTTGGTGTGAGCTAGACTCAGAACAAGCATGTTATAAGCATTTCCGCTCCATAAATCACATTTGGATACACAATCAAACAAGAATTCCATTCCAGTTTATCTTATACCTTCATATTCTGAGGCTTAAGGAAAGAAATTATAACATGACATCTGAAAATAGAAATCTCAGGGGATGAATGGCTCTCAGGGCACACACTGTTGAGTTTCTCTCCCGTTTGGTATAGCCACACAGTCACTGGCTCTATTTCAGTGGTGTATTAGCAGAGCTACATAAACTGCTTGAACATCCTCAGGGATGAATTAGATGTCACCATCATTATGTGAGTATTAATGTTTTATTATCTTGATCCTAAAATAATTCATTTTAGATAGTAACAATTTAAAGGGCGTTGTTTTTGTTCACATAATGTCACTACACTTGAATGTTTTCTTCCTGGAAGCTGGAAGTAGTTGGGCATCCTTTCCAAAGGCTGAGTAGGCAAACTGCAGTCTCTAAATGAGCCAATATTACAACCAGCACTATTGCTATTAGTAAGTACTAATTTGTAAGATTTAGCTTAGTGCTAAGTACTCTTCAGAGTTAAGCTGACAGACATAATTCATATCCTCAAGGGTTTTACCCTCTAAAATAGATAATGCTGACACAAGTAACAGGGAGAGGAAAAGATGAAAATAAAATGTTGCAATAATATTGTATATGGACAGAAATGATTTATCCAACACGGAAGAGGCCAAGAACAGTGCACCTGCGTGGTGCAGGGTGGGCTAGAAGAGGGGAGAGGGTTGCCAAGACCAATCAGCATCCCTAAACAGGAGGGCCTGAGGTAAGCCCTAACACCTTGCCCTCCCAGGGCTAACCATTTATACAAATAAAAAATGATTTACACAAATAGACCTGGATTCCCAAAGAACTGAGAGAACCAAAGTCCCCAAAAGAATGCATGCTCATTGTTTCCCCCAAAATAAAAATTCTGAAATTTCAGAGTAGCTGGCGGACTTCCCCATCTACAGAAAGTATGCGTATGAGCATGTTGGGGATGGTGAGATAGGAGAGGACAATTGACAGAAAATGAAAAAGTATTAAGTCTCTGCCTACTGACTATAATAGATGGCCAAGAAGGCAAGTTCAGATGAGATTCTAATTTGTATAATGACTACCAGAGGAAGCTAGTGCCAGCTGGGCTACTATTTAGAGGGATCCCAGTGGTCATTATTGGATGAAAACATCTTGCTAAACAAGCCCCTGCCTCTGAACATTTTAAATCTTACTAACATGTTTGGATCCCCTGTTTCCAGGCACTAACACGAAAACTTTAAAAAAGGCTTTTTACTCTTTCACCTATCCAGAACACATTACAGAAGACACTGTAAAAAGCACAAAAAGAAATAAATTCAATTGCAAAGTATTAAATCTCATCTCTGAGATGCAACAGACATAGTTGTAATACAAAGTAGAATATGATAAGAGCCATATGTGATCCTCTCAAAGTTCAAAGAAAGGTGAGGCTCTTCCCAACTGAGATGATCAAAGGAACCTCCCTGGAGAAAGTGGCTTTTGAATTGAATTTTGGAAGGCAGGCAGTGCACAGATATCCTGGGACAGTATAAGAGGCAGGAGACAGAGGAGTTTTCCAGATCAGGAACATGGGAACAAAAGCAGAGAAAGGAGGGATATGTGGTAGTAACTTCAAGAGGTTTAGCTGAGTTCTAGTAATCCAGTTTATGAAAATTGCACAAAGGATCTAAATGGTAAGTCAGAACAAACGACAGTGGATGTCAAATAATAGGTTAGGAATACAGGACAGACAACAAGGAGTCTTGAATAGTGAAAACGTGCATGATTAATACTGTGTACCTCTTTCCTCCGTTCCCAACTTTTAAAGTTGGCCATTTCTGCGCTAGACTGGACTTGAAAATCAGCACGACAGATTCATTCCACAGCCATAGTTTCTTGGAGAGCCTCAAAACATTCTTCAGCTCTGAATATGAAATCATTTTGCTAGTTGAAGAGGAAAGGACAACTTTCCAAGTGTTCCATTACAGCTCTCAGACTGAAAATAACCTCTGATGAGACTTTTCCAAATGCTTTCTTTTATTTAGACTAGCGAGAATTTATTCTAGTTCAATGAGTCTTTCCTGACCAAAACATCCTATAACTCATTTTCTAATACGTAATATTGAGTAGGTTTCTTTAATCCTACTCCTCTTACTTAGGAATGCCTTTCAAACAAAAAGAAAGTACAGATGATCTTTCAGAGTCCCCAGAGATGGTCATGTATCATACAAATAAAACATTAGGGGTTGGGAGAGAACAGAGTTCAAAATCTGATCAGGAAAAAAAAAAAAAAAAAAGACAAAATAAGCCTTAAGAGTTCTTGTAGAAACCATTAGGCAATTCAAGAGCACTAATATTTTCAATTACTCAAGAATTTTTTTAAATTACAAGCTCCGATTTTAAGAATTGCTTTTCTGACTACAGTTAAATTAATTGGCTTATCTGAAACTCCATTGGCCTCAATTCAAACAGTGTACAAATTGTGGGTATAATTATCATAACTTCAATAGGTGCTAGCTGAATCAAACTGAACTGGAATATTCACTGAGGCGGTTTTATTGTCAGTGAAACTTTAAAGCAAGTAGCATGGGAGGAGCTAAAGAAGCTGCTTTCCACTAAAATCAATAAGTGGTGCGAAGGGTCTGATACATGCAAAGAAAGCATGCTTGTGAACATAATAATTGAAAATAAGAGAAATTCATCAGATCTTAATCATCCTACCCTTACCACTTGCTTTTATTTAATTTAGGCACAGATTTAAACATAAGAACCAAGCTCAAAACACTCAACTTCAACTTTTATCCAAGGCAGTTGTTTCTATTACAGAAGCCATAAAATAGTGTTTAATTATAAAACTGGGTTTTGGTAAGTACGATGATATAACATAAACCATCTCTCTCTACAAAGGCATAAATGAAGTGGTGGGAGGTTGTTCAAAAACAATATTCCTCTAGGAACAAAAAATTGGAAACATTTTAAAAATATATCCCTTAAAATAGCACCCAAAATCATGACATTTAGAGATAAATTTAAAATATGTGTAAGACCTGTATACTACTAGAAATGTCAAAAAATTCCTGCAAGATATTAAAAACACCTAAATCAATAGAGTACCATGTTCATAGATCAGAAGAGTCAATATTGTATAAATGTCAATTCTACTGAAATTGATCTACAGAGCCAGTGCATCTTCTGCCAAACTCCTGGAAGGTTTTTTTTTCTTAGAAACTGACAAGCTGATTCTAAAATTTATATTAAAATGCAAAGGAACTAGAATAGCCAAAATAATTTAGCAAAAAAAAAAAAAAAAAAAAAGTTGGAGAATTGACACTACCTGATTTCAAGACAGTAATCAAACCAGAGACATATTGGCGTAAGGATAAAAATATAGATGAGTAGAACAGAATAGAGAACACAAAAATAGACCCACACGTTTATGGCCAATTGGTTTTCAAAGATACCAAGGTAGTTCATGAAAAAAAGAGCAGTCTATTAAATAAATTGTGCTGAAACAGTTGGAGGTAAAGTTAGATAAATACAGAAGCATACATGGATGGATGGATAGACAGACAGATGATAGATAGACAGATGAGGAAAAAGTACAACTCCACCCTTAACTCATCCCACATATCAAAATAGATTATAGACTAAAACATAAGAACCAAAACTGTAAAATTTCCAGAAGAAAACATAAGAGATAATCTCTGTGACCTGAAGGTAGACAAAAAATTTCTTAGGAAACAAAATGCAAGAGCCACTTAAAAAATAAATTCAATTTAATCAGAAAAACTTTTGTTCTTCAGAAAATACTATTATAAATACTAAAAAGTGAGACAAAAACTAATGAAATATTTGCAAAGTATCTGTTTGATAAAGACTTGTATCCAGAATATTGTTTAAAACTTCTGCAGCTCACTAAGACAAATAACCCACTTTTTAAAAATAGGCAAAAGAGGCCAGGCGCAGTGGCTCACACCTGTAATCCCAGCTCTTTGGGAGGCCAAGGCGGGTGGATCACTTGAGGTCAGGAGTTTGAGACCAGCCTGGCCAACGTGGTGAAACCCTGTCTCTACTAAAAATACGAAAATTAGCTGGGCATGGTGGTGCATGCCTGTAATCCCAGCTACTCGGGAGACTGAGGCAGGAGAATCGCTTGAACCCAGGAAACGGAGGTTGCAATGAGCCAAGATCATGCCACTCCACTCCAGCCTGGGCAAAAGAGTAAGACTCCATCTCAAAAAAAAAAAAAATAAGAAAAAAAATTAAAATAGGCAAAAGATTTGAACAGAGCAGATCCTTCAACAAAGATATACAAATGTCAAACAGGCACATAAAAAGATGCTCAACATCATTAGTCATTAGGGAAATGCAAATTAAAACCACAGTAAGATACTGCCATATGCCCATAAAAATGGCTAGAATTTTAACGGACTGACAATACCAAGGGTTGATTGGATTTGGAGCAACAGGGACGCTATTACATCGCTGGTAGGAATGCAAAATGGTCTAGCCACTTTGGAAAACACAACTGGTGAACATTATTGTATATAAATTAGACCTCAATAAAAATAATTAAAAACAGTATATCAAAGTAATTTTAGATATTATTTATTTACTTTGTTACTGAGCACAACTCTCTTGAAAAAGTTTATCTTGCCCTAATGAAGAAGAAATGCACCAGAGACAAGCCAAATATTCATCTTTGTCAATTAATACTTTTGCAGGAAATAAAGTACTCCAAGGGATCCTATAAACCTTAGTTTTACTATTTCAAAAACATATCATTCATAATTCTATTTAAAGAATTAAAAATTATGGTAATTGCACCACAATTTTTTAGTCAGGCTAAAAATGTACCTCCATACCACAAACCATTAATACGACTTCACTGTCATTTCATATTTGCTTAATTCACTAGCTTGATCCAACTTCTGTACCTCACCCTCACCCCTAAACCACATCCCATTCTCCTAGATATATAAATATTCTCCTTCTAAAACATAAAAACTAAAGCAACATGTGCTAATAACATGAAGACCTACATCTTAAACCCAGGCTCCAGTGATCCCACTGTATGCCTTCCCCTTAGATCTTATATCTTAGGCTGGGTACAGTAGTTCACGCCTGTAATCCCAGCACTCTGGGATCACTTGAGGTCAGGAGTTCAAAAGCAGCCTGGCCAACATGGTGAAACCCTGTCTTTACTAAATATACAAAAATTAGCTGGGCGTGGTGTCAGGCGGCTGTAGTCCCAGCTACTCGGGAGGCAGGAGGCAGGAGAATCACTTGAACCTGGGAGGGGGAGGTTGCAATGATCCGACATCGTGCCACTGTACTCCAGCCTGGGTGACAGACCGACACTCTGTCTCAAGAAAAAAAAAAAGATCTTACATCTTGATTTTACATTTAGCATAATAAACACAAACACCCCTTCAAATTAGCCCCACATTCTTTCTTTTCATCTTCAGATCCCATGATTAAGCAAACAATAGTTTCAATCTGTGACCCACATGGTCAAAATCAATCATTAAGCCAAACTTTCAAATAGGATCTAAGGATAGGCAGAGAAGGAAAGTAGAAAGGAGGTCCCTCTAAATGGGTCATTGCTGAGGACAAAAATATATAAGCACACACCTAACCTGTTAGATGTGCTCATCTTATAGGGTTTTAGACTGACTTGAAGTTATACTCTATCTGAAAATATGGGTACATATATCAATAACTAAGTGGCTGTGGTCCAATTGATTGTGAAGAGAACCAACAGTGGTTTTACCGGTAAGAAACATCTGTATAAGGATATTTCTAGTACCTGAAGATGCTGCTACAAGCCTTGGACTCATCCACAGCTAGTATCCGCCATGTTGACGGAGGATATACACAGTCTCTGCCCTATGTATAGCTGTTTCTTACAAAACCCAAACCATATTTCTAATTAGTTTTCCTCCAGTCTTGCTGTACTCCCAAATACCTACAGTATCATTAGAAATTTAAACCAACTTACCTTGTATTTCTGCTACCTAAATAAATGTTGTTTTACTACTGCAGCAGGGATAAAGACTGTAGACACCTCAATTTCCTCAATGACTTTAGAAAATGACTTCTTTTAAACTCTTTCTTTCCTTGAAAGTTCATCAAGAACACTGTAGGCAACCAGGAAACAGTATGTATCTGGGCTAAGAGCATTCCATTATATATTTAGTCTTTTACAGTTTACTTTTAAGTGTATGTATCTTTTTTCAACCTTGTTTTGAAACATTCAGCATAATATTTTCTGAAGCGTGGTGGTCTTAGCATCTAGCACATCACGCTTCACAAGGTGAAGTTAATTATTTAATTGCTTGATGGTGGAGAAGCTACAATTGTATGGTGGTTTTCTCAAAAAACTTTTTTAAACATAAAATTTTTCAGAATCAGGCATCAGTAGACTTCAGTTTTAGTTTCAGCTCAAGCACTTGCTGTACAACTTCTAGAAAGCCCTTTGACTGTGTGTGTGTGTGTTTGTGTGTGAAAGGTGAGCAACAACAGCCTTCTACAAACAAAGAGTATGAGTTAAATAGTCAAATGTTAAAATGACATAAGGTAGTATCTGTATCACTTGGTAGAAATTCTTAGCTAACCTGCCTTAATAAATCATTTTAATTTGCTTAGCAATGATTTTCTAAAAGATAGTCAAAGATCAACCTCAGTGTCCTCAAGTTTATAAAAGTCATTCATATGATAAACTTTACTTTAAACAAGACAACCACGTAGTCTAAGCCAGCTCAGGCAATTAAGTCATTTTTAAAAGGTGGGGTGGGAGTGGGGGATCTATAATTCCATTTGTATTGCTAGGCAGGAAGGCAGGCACTGTGATATACATTTTGGCAAAATACAGCCTAAAAGTTTCTTTTCTTTTTTTTCCTTCCCCACTTATCTTGCTCCTTCTAAAGCCTAAACATTTCAAACGAGACTAAGCCCTTGATGTCTAGCTCTGGCAACGAATACCAAACAGCATTTCTGACAGAGTATTTCTATCAAGCCACCAAAAAGGATGGTTTTAAAAGGGATAATTGTTTCCTCTCCTCTTTTCACTACCTTTCTCCCTTTTTCTCTCCCCTGACTCCAATCTCTGTAGGGTAGGCCAGCATTTTTCTCTCCCATGTGAAAGCTATAGGCCAAAGGAAACCTCTAGAAGAGGAAAGACGTAATGTAAATTCACTTCTAGGTTCAGACCCAACTTTCCAAAACTCCAAAAGCTCAACATACAAAGAGTTGGCATCTGCTATTTGATTGCTTTTCCAGTGTTTCAGAATCAAAGAATCAGAGACCTGGAGTGAGTCTTAAAGGAAAGGAAACTGCTTTTAGGAAGGAAATGAAAAGAAACTTGACTTCTTTTCAACAGCAATTAATTCAGTGCCTTTTCTCAGGTTTGGAGAGCTCAAGAAAATGAAGAGTCCCTTCGAAATCTCAAGCAGAAAGTAGCAAAGATACAAAATGCCTTTCTTTTTCTTCTGAGGTGTGGGAAAAATAACCTCGTCCCACAGCCAATTCTTGTCTGGTACATTGCTGGAACTCGGGACAAACAAATTGGTACTACCAACCATTTGGAGCCTTTTCCTTGACTTATAAGGAAAACTCAGATCCACACTCCATGTCTCACCTCACTCTTTCCTTTCCCTCACCTATAAAACTAAATGCCTAGTCAATGAATAAATTAATGAATACATAAGGGCAAGTTTTAATACTGAATACAACCTAAAACAAATGAACTATAAGACTATCAAAATTGGTAATCGTGGCAGAGACTAGCAGTCGTTGTTTAACAAACATTTTCTTCTCCCCGTGGGTGCTCAGCTAGTCTCCGTTTCTCATCCTTTTTTGCAGGTCCTTGTCAACAAGTAAGAGTGCAGGTGATATGTGCCAATTCCAGGCCTGGCCCACAGACTTCCCAGGTGTGCATTTGCATGTTCTTTCTCCCTTTGACTGGAAAGAGATGACTCCCAGGGTGAAGGGGAAGCTGTGTGTTGAAAATAGCCTCACCTGGGTCCCTGATTGTGTAGAATTTGACCCCCAATGGCCAACAATATCCAACCTGATTATGTAAATTAAAACCTTACTATGTGAATCATTATACATCTTAGTGTCTGTAGTGGGTTGAATGGTGGCCCCCAAAAGATATGGCCATGTCCTAACCTCCTCCCCCAACCACCAGTGAGTATAACCATTTGTGGAAAAAAGGGTGTTTGCAGATGCCATGAAGTTAAGGATCTCAAGATGTGATCATCTCAGATTATCCATGTAGGCCCTAAATCCAGTAACTGTTCTTATAAAAGACAAGAAAAGACACAGAGACGAGGAGAAGGCCAGGTAAGGATGGAGGCAGAGATTGGATTTACACAGCCACAAGCCAAAGAATGCCCAGAGACACCAGAAGGAAAGAGAGGAAAGGAAGAAATCTCCTTTAGGGCCTTGGGAGGGAACAAGGCCCAGTCAACAGCCTGATTTCAGACTTCTGGTCTCCAGGTCTATGAGAGAACACATTTCTGTTATTGTAAGCCACCAAATGTGCAGTAATTTGTTATGGCAGCCGTAGGACGCTAAGATAGCATCTATTCGTTACCCTATCATTTGGTGCACAGAAAACTACAAAAAACCTTATACTACAGTCAGTAATTTACTTAGTAATGTTTTAGGTAGTAATGATACTCATATTTGTTTTGAAAGTTTTTATATGATAGAAAAAGGTAAATAATTATATTACTGTTAGGAATCAAACATTTCATTGTAAAAGAAAGGTAACTATAAAATCAAAGAGATTAAGAAAATTAATGAAAATTGATTTGAAAATATTGAATCCATAAATTCTGGACCTGTATTTTCAAGGTCTAGAAACTTACACTGAGAAGCAAATTCACTCAGCAGCTATAAAAACCTTTTGCATGCACTTCCTCATCTCTAATACTACCTCCCACTAAAAAGAAAAGGGATCATTGGAGAAATGATTTATCCTGGGCCTGGGCAAAGAAGATACAAGTTAAGATACAAAGAAGATATGTTTCATACCATAAAACAAGCTCTCAAGGATTAAGAGGGTCATGTGAAAAGGACACAAGAACCAGCACCAAGGGATTCCCATAGATCAAAGAAGTGATCATATGAGCCTCAAAAATAATATCACATTGATTGAAACATGATGAACCCATGAAAATTCATGAGTTCGTAGTGATATTCAAAAAAGGAGACCACAGAAAACCCACTGGTCATCTTATGAGGTATCTATTAATCCAAATTCTTACTTAAAAAAATGGCAATTGAGGGGAAAAATTCCAGGAATAATTATATTCCAGGATAAACCAAGTCCCAGTTGAAAGCTCTAGTTACTAGTTTACTGTATTAATAGAAGGAAAGAGAGATTAGAAAATAATCTTTTTCCAGTTTGTAATGAAACTGATTCAACAAAAGATTATCAATTGGTTTCAAACCCATTAGGTACAAGGTTGATAGGTAACTGGACGTATATATGGTGACAAAGTGACACCAAACAGAATTCTCTCCAGCACAAGGGGAAAACAGTTACACAATGGGGCCATCAAGTTGTCACTGGCCAAACTTATTTAATGATGGGACAACCAGACATTATTTTTCTATGATATTCTTCACAAAGATGTTCAACATCAATCTGTAATGACTTCAAGTCTAACTTCTAGTTAACAGGAAACTCAGGAGCTAAGGCACCCCTAGGAAACAGGTAAGTGCAGAAAACAAAACTTTCTACAAGAGGGCTTGCCTACTATATTCACCACATGAGCATCATAAACAAAAGTCTACTCCAGTTTAAAGTAATTTAAGGAATACATGGCCAGATACAATATGTGACTGATCCTGTACCAGATTATCATTTGAGCAAACTAGATAGGAAGAACATCTTAAGGAAAATTGAGAACAATAAACTGGACAACAGGAGATATTAAGAAATTACTATTCGTTTTAATTGTGATGACCTTATTTGAATACAAGAGAAAAATTTTATAAGGTGCATACCGATTTTTTTAAAAAAAAGATGAACTAGAAAACAAATACCAAACAAAAAATCTGACTAATGCACAATCAAAAGAATGAATGTATAGAGGGGGAAGACTGGATATCAAAATGATAAGAGAAAACTAAGGGTCAAAAGACAAAATTTGAAAAGAATTAAACAGATCGCAAAAACCTAATAATTTTAAAATAGCATTTAATCATACCACAGTATTGTAAACTTGATAAAAATATAACCAATTTAACATATTAAGTACAGGAAGCATGTCAGTTAGCCAGAGGATAGAAGGAAGGGAGGAGAAGGAGAGGGAGAAATGGCTGTCTGCTATCCCAACAGCTGGGAGTGAGAAGCCAGAAAGGAGTGAGCATAGCTAAATGTAGAATCAAAGCCTGGAACTTGGGAAACAGGGCTAAAAGGCAGACTAAGTCTGAAGTCTAGGAGCAAAAAGGAGGGAAAGGGCCAGGGAAAGGTTATTGCTGGCATCACCATCTTTTCCTTCAGCTTCTTCACCACTGTCTCTGCTCTTCCTATGCTTGCTCAAATGACTCTAACATAGCAGCCACCAACATCAAAATAGGCTATAAAAATGCCACCACTGTCACTACTCATTTAGCACCCCTGGTGCTCCAAGGACAAGTCCTCCTTACCTGGAATGGCCCACAGGAACTAATTTATCAGGATTCTGTAGTACTTGTTTACTAGGCAGGAAAGAGCTTTAACTGGCTCACAAAAACATGAACACTTTCAAAAAAAATAACCAACACTAAAAACCATGGAGATATATTTGCTCTTTAATGTTTTAGAAAATTTAATTCCAATGGCAAATTGGCTTAAATATTGATGCACGTTCTCCAGTAAAAAACCTGCCCTTCTTTTTTAAAGAAATAGTATTTGACCACAAGTAAAGGGTTTAAAAAAAATTATATTCTTAATGATTAAATACATGTATATGGTATGGGTCAGCTGTGTTGAAAAAGACAAGAGATCACCTCTCACAATGAGAGTAATGAGGCTTCTTAGTGCCACTGGCCTGACTCTGCTCCGGCTGAGTGGCAGCAGAGGGCTTCCCCTTCCCTAGATCAGGACCCATGCCAAGCCTGGAGAGATGCAGTCTGACCTCCCTGAAACGCTTCGCACAGGAAGCTGAGTCTAAGTGGCTACAATTTCCTGCTACCTCTTCACGCTCATCTTTTGTTTTGTTTTTTAATCTGCTTCTCTCCATCGCTTTATATAAGTAAAGAAAGGGGAGATTTTCCATGTCTCACCCTTCCGTTGGGCCCTTGCCCCAAGGCTACTATGCAAAGCAACAGCCAGCTATCAGGAGGCAAGGTCCACTCATGCCAAATCACCACAGAAAATAACCAATCACACCCTCAGCAACAGCAAACACAGAAGGAAGCTTTTATAACCCAGCATAGGGATGGCACCTCTAACAGCTTCTGGACTGGATTATATGTTGGTGGAATCTACACCCATCTGCATTAGTCATCTCCAATGTCCTGAATTCTTTGACTAACCACTTCCACTTGATCATCCAGCAGGGGCACAGTTATGAATCCACAACCTGTAAGTTCTGTAGGCACCCCCTAAATCATTTGAGCAGCCACACACAAAACTTCGGTAAGAAACCCTTACCTACTATAATTTTTGCTTCAATGGCTTGTTTCCAGATCCCTGGTATAACAGGCAACAAATGAAAAAGCTTGTGAGTAGAGTTTGGAAACAGATGTTCTCGTTTCACTATCTGGGTGACCTTGGCATTGGCCTACTCATTTAGGCTCTATGAACCTCAGTTTCATCATCTATAAAATAAGGGGCTTGGGAAACAGATAGGAAAGGCGAAGGGACGCGCACTTCACTCCACATGCTCCTCCACAAGCTTTCTTGGACAAGCATGTGTTAACTTTTTCAATAGAAAAAGTAAAGTCAGAGTGGCTTGGGATAAATGGTCTCTAACAGCCCTTCTAGATATAAATGATCTAAAAGTCTAAATTCATCCAGGATCTCTAAACCCCCTAAACCAGCATTTATCCACAGTACCCACTGTGCTAAGAGTTCTAAACTTACGGGAAATGGCCAAAGCTCCAAAACCAAAACGTGCAGCACAGGGTCTGCACCAAAAACTGAGGCACAAGTGAGATTAAGGGGCTTTCTCTCTTTCCATAAGTGTAAATGCCACTGAAAGAGCTCTTACAGCTAAGTAGCTTCAGGGGTTTTATTTGCAGTTATCAAAGAAACCTGACATTTCTAGCTTTCTACGCTCACACTACAAAATTTGCCTCTGTGTCCCCACAGAGTCCTTAAATTAATAATGTCTTCATGGGAACTCTGTTCACCTACTATAACACAGAAATGGGTACGCTGGGATACACCTCACTGCACCCAAAATCCAGCACAGATGTCTCTGTTCCGTGGCTTCCGTAGCCCCACTCCCTCCAGAATTAGTTAGACACGTCTCCCATGTTACTTTCACCTTTGAGACCCACTAGAAGCTCAGGTCATCTTTGTATTTATGCAATGAGTCAGGAAAGGACCAAGAGGCATTTCTGCAATATTGTTACTATAGAAAGCTCTTTGGGATTTAATCTTAATTTGGTTAAATTTGGGACAGAATTTCTGGAATTTATTCTCTATTCCTATCAGCATCTGTCATATTAAGAAATATTTATCTTCAACATGAATGTATTTAGTACCACTGAATTATTACATTTAAAAATGTTATCCTTCTCTCTTTAAAGTAATTCCTAAAAATGAGCAGTGAATTGCTTTCCTTTACCAAAAGCAAACCACACTGACAGGTAGAGGAAGGTGAGAAGGATATGGAAACAGCAAACTTCTGCTTAGTCTTCCAGGCCACCTCTTTCAACTGCTTTTTCCCTTCTGCCCTCTCTGCCAATAATGCAAGCTTCCTCTCCACTGTCTTCCATATTAGCCATTATTTCTTTCATTCAACATGTTTTCAATAAGCACGTTTCAAGCACTAAGCAAGTTGTTAGAGGCCCATATCCTAAAGGAACTTACTCTTGAGGGAGACACACTTAAATAAATACTTACAAAACAAAGTGATAGACTAATGCAATCATACAGAAGTATGAAAAAATGGATGCCCCAAATTAAATAATGAACGGCCACTTCATGATAAAGTCAAGTCATGAGAAAGCATTTATTGTGACACTCCATATTTGCTTCCTTAGAGAGAAGCAGAACAGATTCAATGCACTAATTTGTACAATGCCTATAGCATAGAGAACATTTCAGTTTAGTTATCAATGCAAGAATAATCTTTGTTCACCAGTAATGCTGATATATTTAAATATATCTTGTTCAAAATGATAATTTACAAAAGTTTACAACTTCATGTAAGTTTTTTTCAGTGAGGATATCAGTGTGGAGGGAAAATGCAGGCAGGAATAATGAGATGAAGCCATGGATGAGGTTGGTAAAACACATGTCATTGAAGTACTGTGTAGTTGGTATAAATGGTCTCTTATAAGCATTTATACCAAATTTGTGGCTCAGGCCACAAATCTGTCTCTGAGCATCTTAGCAGCCAAGGAAAACAATGACCAGTTCCATGATTCACCATGTCCATATGGTAATTTTTCATGAAACTGAAACCTGAAATAATTTCTCCATAAGTCCTCACACTCTTATTTATATAGTTTCTTTTGGAAATCAATTTCTTTAACATTATCTATCACTTTGTGTACCTTTCCTGTTAACATGTATCCTAAATAACATATACTATATCCATGCTATATGCTTAAGTAAAATTAATATTTGTATCCAAGAAGTAAAATTAATATTTGTATTAATATTTGCGTGCACACGGCATTGGGGCCCGGGGGTGTCCTGTATGTTGGATATCAACACCACCCCACAGTCATAATTTTAAGGCTTCACAAATAAGGTTGGTAGTAATATTTTTAGACTGGAAATCTATAGCTGAGGCTTTTTCTGACAGCATCATATAACAGCTATTCAAACCATAAAGTATGTTTGGATAACAGATAATGATATATTTGTCTATTAGTCTGTTTTTGCACTGCTGATAAAGACATACCTGAGACTGGGCAATTTTCAAAGGAAAGATATTTAATGGAGAACTCACAGTTCCATGTGGCTGGGGAAGCCTCACAATCATGGCGGAAGGTGAAAGGCATGTCTCATATGGAGGCAGAAAAGAGCAAAGAGTTTGTGCAGGGAAACGCCCCCTTATGATAACCATCAGATCTCATGAGACTTACTCACTACCACAAGAACAGCATAGGAAAGACCTGCCCCCATAATTCAATTACCTCCCACCGGGTTCCTCTCATAACATGTGGGAATTCAAGATGAGATTTGAGTGGGGACACAGCCAAACCATATCAACTTGATATAACTTTCTCTGAATCTTTTAAGGACAAGTTGAAAATAAAAACAGTAACAGTCACAATATTTAATATCTGGGCCCTTCAGCAGCAACAGAGGCAGCCACACAAGTTTAGAGGCACCTACTATGTGCCCAGTATTATTCTATGTACTTTACGATCAAACAAAATCAACAATAATTTCTTGGAAGCATCTCAGTCACTAATCAAATATTCCCAATTTTCTCAAGAAGTCTTTTTAATAATTAGCTTGTTCAAACTGGGATCCAAAGAAGATCCACACAAACATATTGTTATTTCTCTGAAGTTCTCTTCTTTTTTCCTATCTCTGTCGCAGAAGCAAATATCTTGTTTTTCAATCATGATATTGACATACCATAAAATTCACACTGGATCTCTTCTTTCATTACTTTTTTCATAAAAGAAAGTGTCACTGTTTCTTACCTGATCACAAATCAGTTCCCATTTTTTCTCATTATCATACTGCCGCAGTAACCTGGCTTTGTCAGGAGGTAGGTTCATAGCATTCTGTTTAAAAAAAATAAAGAGAGAAAAGATGTCACATTCCACAGCAGGCTTCCAAATTGGTAACTTGCAGGCAGACCAAATAATACCACTATGGTTTTTTCATGACTTTCTCTCAATTCCTAGTATCTGATTAAACCAAAACACCCACAGAAGTCACTTAAACATCAAATCGGTTAGATGAGAGGCGGGAAATTCTGAAGTTCTATGGTGGGACATGTGAGATGATCTGCTTTGAACAATCAGACTTGCATTTTAGCAAAGGTGATGCCTTGTCGCTTTGGCAGACTCCCTTTCTACTCAACAAAAAGGTCACAAGGTATCCAATTTCTTTGTAAAGCACTGTAGCCCCACCAGACACAAAACAGAAAACACCAAAAGAGAACACAATGATCAGAATCACTGATAGATTCAAATTATACTCACTTTGATAAACAACTATGAGGAAAAGAATTAAAAAAAAAAAAGACAACAATGCAACTATTTTTTGTCCCCTCTGTGAGATGACAGTATTCCTTGAGGACATATGTTAACATTTATGTCAACATTAATAACCACAATTCTCAGTTGAGCTATATTGGTTTATGAAGGTGAGTTTGCAGTAGGAAATTAATCATGAGGCAAAAGAGATGTCCAGACATCAGCACTCGTATAAACCCTCCTCTTAACACAGCACACCTTCTGTAGTGCTGGTCATGGATTTTTTCCCAGGTACTTTCACATGTCATGAATCTAATGTCCCAAATGACCAATCATACACATTTTTAAGATACTAGGTTTGGATGCAAAGTGAGGTCTTTGGCAAAAGACCATGGCAGAGTAAGAGAGCCTCAGAAAGAATTCAGATCTATTCTTTTGGCCTCCCCAAAGTTCTCATGTGCTAAACAACTGAGCTAAGTAGTCAATTAAAGTATTATACCTATTTATCATCCTGTCTATCCCCTGGCATCAGCACTCTAAGTCACACCTATTCCTAAATAAACAATGTAGTCCCTTATCTGGGTCAATATTCAAGCAGACAAATGCAAAGGTCTTGAACTTTTAATACTCAAGCTCCTAGCTCTCTGAAGGACTTGGCTTAGGGAGAAACAATTCCCCTGGTCATGGTTATTGTCTTGTGTTATAGGGTGAAACAAGTTTAACAGAGGCAAAGGTGAGTATGCTGTCCTGACTTAATGATAGAAAATCAACCACTGATTATGATAAATTAAACCAAGCATTTTCCCTTAAACTCAATCTAACATCTAGATTGGTATGCCTTAAGTATATCTGCCACCTATTTGAGTCTAATCCATCAGATTTTACAATAACCTGTCTTTAAAATATTTAATTTAATTTTTTTTTTTTTTTGAGATGGGGTTTCACTCCTGTTGCCCAGGCTGTAGTACAATAGCACGATCTCGGCTCACTGCAACCTCCGCTTCCTGGGTTCAAGCAATTGTCCTGCCTCAGCCTCCTAAGTAGCTGGGATTACAGGAGCTTGCCACCATGTCTGGCTAATTTTTGTATTCTTAATAGAGACGGGGTTTCACCATGTTGGCCAGGCTGGTCTTGAACTCCTGACCCCTGGATGATCCGCCCGCCTCGGCCTCCCAAAGTGCGGGGATTACAGGCGTGAGCCACCATGCCTGGCCTAAAATATTTAATATTTTAATCACCCCCCCTCAAAGCTGACAATTACTTTGAAGAGCTTTGGACTTTATAAAGAGTTTTCAATGGTACTGCCAAAGCTTCTTAGATATAGAAACATCTAATATGGGAAAATGTTTTCATATGGCCTGTCTTCATGGAATATCTACTTGAACTACAATGGAAAAAGTCTATTTGTAATTATTAGTTATTACAATTTGACAATGTTAAAAAAAAACTCCTGGGATAAGGCAAAGGAGAATTTCATGTGTATCTTTCTGAGGAAGTCTAATGTTATTTACTGGTAAATGGTCAGTCCATCATTGCTTATTTGCACTCCAGAGAAGGAGGTTTTCCTCTTAAACTGGTGTTGACCTTCATGTTAGCACCCCAGCTATAATTATGCATTAAGTAAGAACAATAAGATTATAAATTAAATGAGTTCTTTTCCTCTTGAGTCCTCACTAATCTCGAGATATAAAGGGAATAAGAAAAAGAATGCCTGAACTCCTACAAGGTGCCAAGTACTCCATTCAACACTTTGCATATGTAATCTCAGTTAATACTCATAATAAGCATGTGGGATAGACATAATCTTCTCCATTTAACATAGGGAAATAGACCCGGGAGAATTTGGTTAACTTGCTCAAGGTTGCACAGCTTTACAGGAACAAAGACAGGACCTAAACTTAGTCTGTTAGGCTCCCAAGGATAAATTCTGAATATGCCACCAAGCTTTTTTTGCAGGAGAGCAAAACGGCAATAGCTTATGACCTTCTATTAGTACTCTACTAGACATTCCCGTGGAAGCACTTGGCAAACATCGCCACAGGAATTACACACAGGCTCTGTCGTTTTCTGCAAAGAGAAAGGCAAGATGCCCCTTCCAGACTAACTCTTATTTTGATTAAAGAGTCTTTCGTTCAACAAATGTTTATGGAGCACTGCCCCTGTACAAGCCCTGTGCAACATGCTGGGTGGCACGGTGGGAATCCAAACAGACGCGATGCCCAGAGAGCACTGTGTTATGGTGGGGAGACACATATGAAACAAACAAAGCTTTTTAAACTCTGGTAAGGCTTGAGAAAGGTTATCAGAGGGTAGTCTTAGATTAGACAGTCTGGAAAAACCTCTCAGGAAAAAGTAACAAATGAGTCCCAATAAATGAGAAGGATTGGCCAGGCAGAGGGCGGACGAAAGCACACTGGGCACAGTGAACAAGGGAAGCCTCAAAGGCAGGAATTAGCTTTCCACATTTAAGGAGCTGAAAAAAGTCAGAACAGCCAGAGAGAAAGTAAAAGAGAAGGAATGAGAAAAAGATGAAGTTGGAAATGTGAGTCAAAGCCATATCATGCCTAGACATGCAGACCAGGGTCAATATATTTTATCTGAAGTGCCACGGGAAGCCATTGAAGGCTTTTAAGCAGATAAATAACATAATGACGTTGTTTTTCAAAGATAACAATAGGTGCTATGAGGAGAACAGATTAGAAACAGCAAAAGCAGAGAGCCAGTAGGAGGCCAGGACTAAGCAGTTCAAGTGAATGATGGCAGCTTAGATGGGGTCGATGGCACGTTGAATGAAGAAAGGTGGACAAATGTCAGAAATATTAAGTGAAACTGACTGGTTAGACTTAAGGGCTGGGGAGGATTTGTACCTTGTTTCCAGCTTGAGTCACTAAGTGAATGGGGTACAGTTAATAAGAGGGGCACGTAACAAAAGGCAAAATAAATCTGGAGGAGTTGGTGAAGAATAAGATTTATAAATGACCCTGTTTAGGCCTGAGATAGCTATGAGATAACCAAGAGAGCACTCAAGTGGGCAGGTAGATACATGATTCTGGAGGTCAAAAGAAAGGTCTGAATCTCTGAACAAGAAGAGACTTAAGAAGTCTTTTTGAGCATGATTAGTTATTGTCAGAAGTAGCAGTGCAACATCAATACATCCAAACTAAAGCTCCACTGGGTAATCATTCACCAAGCATCTAAAATAACCCCTTCCATGAGCCAAGCCTCTGAGCTACTCAGACATACATTGTACAGCTTAATAATTCCATAAGGACCATGAGGAAGCAGTTCTATTTAAAATCAGACACTCTACAGAGGTCTGGTTAAAGTTCAGGGATGTTGTGATTAGCTGGTAATAACTGCCTTTAAACTTCTTTCGAGTGAACTCATTCCTCTTGTGCTGTTCAGGGCAAGACTCTGGAGTCCAAGCTAAATGTTTGAGCAGGTAATTCATGAGTCCAAGTTACTGTGTGAGGAAAATATTGGCTCTATCTCCAGGTCCCTTTGCTGCCTTTATAAAAATGGACTGCTCATCTATTTGGCTGAAAATATCAATCAATTTCCGAGTCTTCCTAACACGGTGACAACTCTACCTCACCCACTCTTAGTGACATCTGTGACATAGGGCTCTCCTTTCATTCTTTTCATCCATTGTTCCATCCAACATATTTCCTGGGCTTTAACCATATACCAGAATGTCCGCACTGTAGGCATCTGAGACAACTTAATCACCAAGTAACTGCCTGCAAGTATCGCCAAAGGTCGATGGAAGACATATGATATTTGAATTGAAAAGTTCAGTGGATGTTAATTATTGTTTTTCTAGATTGTACAAGTTCCTAGCTAAAATAAATTAGATCATCCAAGAGTATTATTTCTGTAAAATTGTTCCTTTCTTTCCACTCTCAACCTGGCAAACTGTAAGAATCAATTCAAATGTCATTTATCATTAGAACCTTCCCCCCACTACTCCAGGAAGACATACCCTCTCATTGGGCTCTAACAGCACTGTTTACATGTCTCTAATATAACACCTAGTACACTGTACCCTAACAATCTGTATGCTTACCTAAATTTCCCACTGGACTGAGTGCTTCAAGAACAATTTTTGATGTTCTTCTTAACCATCAACGTATGGCACAGTATGGCAAACGGTAGGCATTAAGCAGGTTGTTGAATACTGAAGAGCAAACAAAATCAGCCATACTGCCCAGCCTGCAAATATCCTTAATGAATTAGGATTTATATTATAGCTATTAACAATGTCTACACACTGAACAGTATTTCAGTTTCTTGTAAAACATCATTCCATGATAATATCTGTTGCTTATTATTTTCCAAAAAAAACTCACGGGGGAAAAAAATCTTCAATTCTAGCAATATTTTCCTGAAAAGAAAAATGAGCGTCTTCTGCCACATACAATAAACCATGAAACCATGAATCTGAACTTTGTTTCAGTGCCAGTTAATTCAGATTGGTATCTATTCCAAGTGGTAGTTACATGTATGGTCTCTACTTTGGTTTTTATCCATAATTGTACAATCTTAATTTGCTTTTAAATGTGTTTTCCATCTCAGAACCTTTTGAAAATAGAAATTATAACTAGAAAATAAAGAAAAATAGAATATCCCAAAATTCCTGAGTACTTTATAAAGAAAGTAATTATGGTGAAGAAGAATCTATGGTAGCCTATACATCTCAAGTTATACCCACAGATTATCATACACAACACAGAACAGAATGATGGTGCCCAAATCATTCACAACCAAATAGACCTATGTGGTAGCAAAACAGAGTTTTCTGATATCAGCTCCTGACCTGGTTTCATGGTATTAATGCAAACTTGTAAAATCCTTCTTTTACCCAAATATTCTCAAGGCTCATACTTAGAAACCCACAGTGATATGGAGACACACAGGAGGGAAATTGAACAGTATGAAATACACCTTATGTAATATATCTTTGTCCTTGTAATCTCTAAATTAAAACTCACAAGCATTCAGTCACCAGATTTTATAACAGGAACTCTTCTACTATATAACCACTTGCTTAGAGAGAAAAAACATGGACTTTGCAAGTAGTGCTTCTTATGGAAGCAGGGAAAATCATGTCACAAAAGAAATGGCTTAGACAATCTTTTAGAGCTCTTAAATAATAGAGATACAGAGGTTTACAGGAACTCAAAAGAAGGAGTCATTACTTTAAAAAATTTTTCAGTTATGGTAGAAAACATAATATAAAATTTACCTCATAACCATTTTTAAGTTTATACTTTAAGTAGTGTTTATAACTATATTAATATTATTGTGCAACGGATCTCTAGAACTTTTCCATTTTGCAAAACAAACTCTGTACCCATCAAACAACAACTCCCCATGTTCCCTTCCCCGGAGCCATTACTTGTCGCTACAAAAAAGGAAATGGGATGGATTTCAACTGGATGGCTGGGTAGCACAATGAATTCTAATGAGACGGTGCAAGCAAGGATTTACTCATTTATTAGTTTTTGCTAGTTGGGCTCTGGAATTAGACTAGCTAGATTCTAATCCTGACTCTACTAATTACGGGTGATCTTAAACCACACTATTTGAATCCTAAAGCAAATGAAATTAGTAAACACCCCACAGTCGAAAAAGCCAGTAAATGTAATTCAAAACTGAAGAATCGAAATCAAGGGTCAAAAACAACAAGATGTACCATTTATTGACGGACTGGTATGTCTCAGGCACTTAGGCTCTTTGCATGCATTATCCAATTTAGTCTGTCTTATAATCCTGACAAGTAGTTATTATCTTTTCTATTTAACAGAGAAGGAAATCGGAGGACAAGGAGGTTAAGTAATTCCTCCATGCATGAGGTAGGTGGCAAAGCCAGGACTCAGAATAGAGGTCTGTATGATCATCCCCCTTCCATGACATTTAAACTACAATGTTTCTAAAATATGACTTATTTGAACTAAGCAATCTCACAATTCCACTTAAATAACCAGACACAGTCATTAGCACGAAAAGTGAAGGTGGAAATGCATGATATTAATATTTTCATATAAGATACTGGCATTTTAATTGAAGTATTTTAAGATGTTGAAAAATATAAACTGGAGCCAAAAAACTGACTGGGCTGAATACAGATAGCAAGGTACAGTGTCAAATCAATATATACTTAATAAACTCTGCCAAATAACAAATCAAGGTGAGGATACAAATACATGGTAAACTCAGGCTTTGACAAGGCATCAATGAAGCAGAAGGAAAGAAGATGAATACACAAATATAAAACGGAGCATGTCAAATAATCCGACAGAACCTCAGAGAAGGAGCCATTACTTTTTGCTACGGAAAGTAGAAAATACTATGCATTGAGCCTGGATGTGTGGGGAGGATGGTAAAGAATGGCATTAAATGACACAATATGGTTTCTAATGTGTGGGCTTTGGAGATGGGCCACCTGGGCTGCAATCATGACTACCACTCATTTAGAGTGTCATCTCAGCTAAGTTATTTATACTAAATCTCAGCTTCCTCACTTGTGACATGGAAATGATCACCATGGTAGTGATAAGCATCATGAGGGTGATGAGGATGGTGGTAATGTTACTACCTGCATCATAGAGTTTGGGCAAAATTAAATTCGATAATGTATGTACAGTAGCCTCACCCACATCTATGATTTTGCTTTCTGTTATTTCGCTATTTCAGTTCCCTGAGTTCAACCATGGCCCCAAAATAGGTTCGTGGAGAACAATAAGATATTTTGTGAGAGAGAGAGAGAACACATTCACATAAACTTTTATTATAGTATATTGTTACAATAGTTCTATTTTATGATTACTTATTGCTAATTTCTCACTGTGCCCAATTTATAAATTAAACTTTATCATAGGTATGTATATGTAGGAAAAACAATAGTATATATTAGTTTCAGTACTATTTAAGGTTCCAGATATCCACTGAGGGTCTTGACAAGTATCCCCCACGGATATGGGAGGATTACTATAAAATAGTACAAAAGTAAGTACACGGAAAGTACTCAGTATGTTAAATGATATTATTCATATTATCCTCATTATTTTAGGTAAAAGGAAAGATATGAACAAAGGCATGAACACAGGAGAAGGCAAAGAGCTGTGCATCACACAGAATAAACCAGGAGGTAAGGAGTGGGTAGCGTGAGACCAAGTTCATGTGGACATCAAACCAGATAATTTCAAACTTACTCTATGGCAGTGAGAAGTCATCGGCCAAAGAAATATCTAGGAAAAGTCTTCAAGGGGTCTTCAAATCAAATGAGGTAAATGATTCCTCCTGCTCTGTTAACTCTTCCTACATTGACATTTTTCCTTATACCATTATTGGGACATCAAATTAAGTCACTTGGAACTGAGTAATGTACCAATTCTCCTGAGTTCACTTGAAAATTACAACAGCTGAGGGCCTCAGCAGGGTGGCTGCAAATTCAGCACATGGCCTGCCCATCAATTCCCCTCACCTAAAATCCATTTCCTTCCATGACCTATATTCATGGTCCAAACAACTACCTGGCATCCTAAATTTTATTATCTTCCTAGCCTAGAGGATGCTGCTAAAATCTATTCAGCTTCTTTCCTGGCACAGGTCTCAGGCAGCCAGCCAAATAGTTCCCCAAAGTGAATCACCAGTCAGTCATTTTTCATTGTCACTGTTATTTTTATTGAATCATTGAGGGTACTAATATCACCGCCGTAGCCAGTGAAGCTCACAAAGGGAGAAATTAGGCTCTCCCTAATCTAGTAACATCTTGGAAATAAAAGCTGACTAGAAAGCTGTCCTTTCTGGGGAAACTGTGGTAATGAGACATACCTCTAATCTCTCAATCACAATCTTAGGTACAGTCTATTTTCTTAGAAGGCTTGCTTTCTTATGACTCCTCCATAACTTTTTTATAATCAAAAAGTACAGAGCTACAAGAGAAGCTTGTGATACATTCATTCTGTTCTGTCTTTTATAGGTGACCAAAACAGACTAAAAAGGTGAAAGCATTTGTCCAAGTTCACAGAACTGGTTATTACCAATGGTAGAGCAAAGACTTCAGGCTCAGGGGGACATGAAGAGATGTTGGTCAAGTTTCAGTTAGGCAGGATGAATAAATTCTGAAGATCTAATGTACAGCATGGTGACTCTAGTTAACAATACTGTATTGTATAGTTAACATTCGCTAAGAGGGTAAATCTTAAGTCCTCACCACACACACTAAAAAAGGAGGAAACGGTAACTTGAGAGATGATGGATATATTAATTAGTCTGACTCTCGTGATCATGTCTCTAGGTGGTTATCATTTCTCTGTGGTGTTCACACAACGATGAAATTGCCTAATGATGTATTTCTCAGAACCTGTCTCCATTGTTAAGCAACACAAAACTGTATATCAATACATCAGGTTATGCAGTTTAAAATATACCATTTTTCTGTATCCATTATATCTCAATGAAGCTGTTAAAGAGAACTCAGGCCAACATGTCTCTTATTATTTCTCTTTTAACATGAAAGAAGGATCACTTACATATGTTGGAGGGTGTTTGTGCACGTGTGTGAATACACATACAGAAGTTTCAGAAGATCAAATCAGATAACGCATGTAAAGTAGTTGGAACACTTGAAATTTGCTACTTTAATGCACCTCCATCTTTTCCTGACTATAGTTTTCTTAGAACAGAAGTGCCAGCACTTGCCACTGTCTTCATTCCTCCTTGATTTTGGGCTCCATCCACATAAAACAACCCATTTTGTTAATTTATGAACCTCTAGAAAATTATCCATTTTTTAAACCAGTGAACACAACCTAACAGACAAAAATGAATTCCCTAAATCTCATGTGAATTATCTACTGTTTTAAAGTAGTCACACTGTTGCCATCCTTTTTAAATGCAAATAAACAGGAGTTCATTAAAAAAGGAGCTCACTATGTACATATTTATGTTTATGGTATTTATTTAATTGCAAGGCCAGATTATCATCAATACAGACCAAGCTAGGTGGGAGAGCCAATCTTGTCCACAGGACAAAAGGGTGCAGCTATAGCAGTCAAGGACAAGCTCTCCCGCAGCCCATCTTCCTACTACTCCCCATATCATTGGCTTAGTGATTCAACATCTAATAGATGGAAAAACCACACATCCCTCCTCTGGCCAAAGTGCCAGCCCCTAAAATACAGATTCCTATTGCATTTAAACACAAAGAGAATAATGGAAAGAATCACTCATGCAATTTTTTTCAAACTTCATGTCTGATTTTCATTAGAGGTCTGCTGTCTAACGATTCTTGACATGTTCTGGATTTCAAAGAACTCTTCACCTACTGTCTGCTAACTGCTGTGCCAGGAGCTGTGTCTGAATCCACACATTTGTGTGCTGAATGAGGGAGTTACACAAGAGGCCACACTTGAGATGCTAGAAAACTCCTTCATGGGCAATGATTAGACAACATGAGGCCAAATATATTAAGGTACTAGGCTTGCTGGCACAGACCAAAATGCATCGAAATCCAGAGAAAGTGTTCTTATTCTGCTGTTGAATGTCAACTTTCTATGTGATAAGATCTGAAGAGTAAACTCAATTTGATAACTGAAGATACCAAACTCAAATTGTAACATATTAGATATCAAGATTCTACCACAAGAAAGCCATGAGACTGCAGTCTGTATCACCTGCTGATCTGAAGCAGTATATAATTTCACCTGTCCCACTGCCCTGGAACCCTGGCCTCACTCTCCCCCAGCCCTTTCCCAGCAACATATCTGTAATTCCCTTCTCAGGACATTAAGATTATCGCTAGTCTCCCTCTTCTCTTTCACAGCAGTCACTCTGGAAACGATTACTGAACCTGGATTCTATACTCAAGCTTGGCCCAGGTTACAGCCTCATACTATTCAATCTTATGATGGGGATCACCAAAGGAGGAAAAGAGTTCAAGTTTATGTTCAACTAAGGTCACGTCTTCTGAAATAACAAGAGAAAGATTATGCTTTTGTCTTAAAAATGAATATTTTTGCCATAACCATGATCAAAATTATAGCCTCAAATTCATGGCTTCTCATTTGCAAACAGCTGCAACTTCAAAGGTAGACTTGCTGTCATAGGCAGAATAATGGCCCCCAAAGATTTCCTCATCTCTATCCCAGGAACCTGTGAATTTTCCTTACATATTAAAATGTGATTTGCAGATATGATTAAGAACCTTGCGATGGGAAGATTATCCTGGATTACCTTGGTGGGAACCAGTTATAATCACAGGGTCCTTAAAAGTGAAAGAGTAATTTCAAAAGGTGGGGGCGGAATAAGTGTTGGCAGGGATTTGGAAAAACTGGTACCTTTGTTTATTGTTATTGGGAATATAAAATGGTACACCTACTATGGAAATCAGTGTGGTGGTTCCTGAAAATGTTGACCACACACTCAACAGAGGACCCTACATTTCTGCAATGAGGTATATATACAAAGGAATTAAAAACAGAGACTCAGATACCTGAAGTTATGATGTCCTAAGATTAAATTACCAAAAAAATTAAAAATAAAACTATCAACTCATGAAGGAGCCATGTTCTGAAGTAAAGTTCTGCCCTATCCAAACACACAGTAACACTGAGACAACTTAAGGTTTCACCACAACACGTGTTTATCAGTCTTGATGGTCTCATTTCCAGAAACCCACAGTGTCTCTCCAGACAAGCCCAGCCAAGATAGGCAGGAAAGCTGGAAAGTCTTGCGTGGCAGGCCTTCTGGTGTATGACAAGTGGATTAATTTTTCTGCTCTTAGTTTTCTCCTTCTTTGCACTCCTTTAGCCTGCCACTTAGCTTTTGGCTCTCACCCCTCGTGGTAGCGGAAAAGACCATGAAGTAAGTGTTTGCATCTGTGTGTACGACATCCTGGTATTAAAGTAATACTTTAACGTTGCTGGTATTTTTATGGTCAACACCAACAATCAACAAGTTAATTCACACATAATGTCTAAGGGAACACTTTCATAATTTTTTAAACTGCTAAACTCCTTAAGATGTCATAAAAATAGAAGAATTCCCAAAACAACTGACATAAGAGCAACTCAACAACATCAAGATCTTTTTGAGGGGACCACCAATCACATTCTATTTTACTGACTTCTCTTTCTATCCTTACAAAACTCCAAGTCCCTGGAAGGAAAAATAATTTGTTAGTCCTCTTTACAGCCACAGTACCCCAATAAAGTATCTTGTATTCAGATGGTGCATAATTATTGTCTAACAGAATTCTGCTCAGCCAAACAAGCTGCATTTCAATAAACAAAAGGCATTCTGCTCCAAGATCTTTAATCTCCTTTTAAACAAATAAGTAATTAGGAACAGAAAAGCAAGTGTCAAATTTAGTCATTATCTATTTGTACGTGGTTGTTAAATATTATACAAATACTAACAGAGTTTACTTCAACTCTGTAAAGTTAAAAATATATATTTAAAAGCTCCAGATAGGCCGAGCATCATGGCTCATGCCTATAATCCCAGTACTTTGGAAGGCTAAGGTGGGAGGATCATTTGGGCCCAGGAGTTGGAGACCAGCCTGGGCAACATAGTGAGATCCCATCTCTACAAAGAGAAACTTTTTTAATTGGCCAGGTGTGGCTGCATGTGCTTATAGTCCCAGCTACTCAGGAGGCTGGGGCAGGAGGATCACTTGAGCCATGAGCTCGAGGCTGCATTGACCCATGATTGTGCCACTGCACTCCAGCCTGGGCAACAGAGGAAGACCCTCTCTCAAAAAAAAAAAAAAAAAAAAAAAAAAGGTCCAGAGTACAGATATACCTTCTCTTATACTCCAGGCCTGGACCTGACCTGCCTCTCCTACCATCCCACTCACCTTCTCTCCATCAAACTTACATCTCAACCCAAGACCTGAGTCTTCTATATACCATGTTTGGGGTGACCTTTTCTTTGTATTATCTCTAATAGCACTTGTTCAAGGGACCAAATGTGACCGTATTGGTTGCCATTTCACATGTGTACACTTTTTATCCAATGAGAGGGAAAGTTCTCTGGCATATTTGGATGCTTTCTATAATACTCAGAACATGGACAGATACACAATACACATCTAACAGTTATGAGTTGAGCAAAAAAAAAAAATCCCATAATAAAATTAATTCTGATGTGTGGTACATGGAAATTTAGAATTTATACATACAATGCACAACAACTATAACATTAAATAATAGATTATTTATTAAATATGGCTGAACTAAATCATATTATAAACAGGTACCCTTAGATACCTCAATAAGAAGTACCTCTTTCTTGTTGGGGCATAAGGTTTTCAATGTTTGTCTATTTGGAGATAAAAAGGTTCATGTGAAATAAAATCCATGTCATTTGAGTTATGCCTGGTTTTATATTCTCACACCACAGTGGTACATTCTAGGTGTAAAGTGCTACCCAAGTGTGTGGTCTGGTTTCAGCCTAAAACAAGGAAGCATGGTGACATGTGCACTGCATGCACCAAGCAAGGCAATAAGAAGAAAGCATTTTCCAGGGTGGGCGCACACCTACATTTACAGACAAAGAATTTCTGGGAAGCAGGCCCTAGAGTGTGCACTATTCCATTTTAAGTGCTGGACTTGGTTGTGGGCAAGAAAAAGGAAAAAGCAAGCATGCATGCAAGACAGAGATGAAAATGGGCGGGGGGTGGCAGGATGCAGAAATCTGACTGTATTGACCCTCTGTGCGTCTCAGCTGGGTAAACCACAACAGTAGGCCTGGGGGACACGACCCTGGCTGCTGAACTCAGTACACCCACTCAATATGTTCTGGATGTAAACACTTTTCTCTTTCCTACAAAGCAGTGTTATGCTTCTCCAAAAGAGCTACAAGGATTTGGAAGAATGCCAAAATACCACATTGACCATTCAATCTTTGCATTCTTACATTCTATAACAACTCCGCCCCCATCACTCAAGAGATGAACCATAGCTAACTCACATGAACCAATCTATCCTTCTGCAAATTACACCTCAAGTCCTAAGGAGCCCAGGGCTAATGCAACGCACTTCATCCAGTACCTAATGTTGCTTCCCACCCAAAGTGTTTGCCAACTTGAAGCATACCTCTGATTTAGATCTGTCTTCTTCCAGAGGGAAATGCAACTCCAAGTGCAAATGAATCCCTGTTTGATTATTAGGTTTTATAGAGAAGTGACAGGATCAAGAGATTCCTAATTTTCAACTTGAGAAACTACTTAGCACTTACACACCTCCCTAAACAAGCCTTTAAAATCTGATCCTCCACACACCATCCTATCTCGGGGGTCTGTCGTTTCAGCGTTGCTGCAGTGTTCCATCCCAGTCAGCTGCCCACTGACAAATAGGTCCATTCATTGTCTCTCTCTTCTATACATATATTTATAAATGATAAGCACAATATATTCTCTGTTATTGCACATGGTTGGGCAACAGGCACACTGTTTAATAGAGAGGTGCCACACATACCATGCATGATTTCTAAGTGAATACGATTTATCAAATTAACACAAAAGCCATATTATCGTAACTTAATCTTTCTTTAATGACTCTGAAATAACTCCAGAATTTTAGAAAACGTCTTCTGGTCATCACAATAAATTACAATTACAACCTTTGGAATTACTCATACCTGGGTTCAAATTCCAATTACTAGCTGTTCACTCTGGCAAGTAACTAAATTTCTCTGAGTCTCGGTGTTTCTATTTGAAAATGAGAACAAAAAGATCTCCCTGTTAGGACCACCACGAAACACAAAAAGTACCTATCAAAACAGTAGTAGACACATGGACGGTAGCACAGTGTCCACAGAAGAGGCTGTGGCTGCAGACAAAGATTCTAGTCTTCAGGTAAAATAAGAAAATTTAAGTTTATATCACAGAACTGAAACTACTTGCTCGATGTTCATAGGCAAATCACTTAAATTACTTGAACTTTAGTCTCCTCATCTGTAAAATAAGGACAGTATCTACTCCAAGCGGATTTCAGGAGGAGCCTGATAGAAGAAGCTTTATATAGCAGGATTGTTATGAAAATCAAAAAGAAAATGAGAGAACACATGCAAAGTGTTTCATCAAGCTCAGTGCCTGACATAAGTGTTCAATAAACTTTAGCTATTCAGTACCAGAATATGATACAACCTAATTCAAAGAAGGGAGGGGTAAAGTGCTGGAGCATCTTAGTTTCTTTAACATAATGGCTTTGAGAGCTTCTCACACACAGACATAAAAATTTCTGGTGCCATAAACACAATGGATGTTTAGCTAACAGCCAAATAATGAACTAAATAGAAATGTCTAGATCTGTGGTTCTCAAATTGAGTGCCAAGGCACCCCCAAGCACTACAGTGAAATGAATGGAAGCTATGGGATTATTTCCAAAGGAAGCAACAAGACTCAAAATCAGAGACCGCACAAGCCACTAGCCTGAGGTGGTTCAAGTTTCTACCCTGAGTCACGCAACATTTCCTTTCCATAACATCTTACCTTTGCGAAACTGTTTTTTTAGCAGTTGCTGTGATAAAAGCAAGTAACAAGAGAAAATGAAAACTGAACAGGAAAGGAAGTGTGTGCACAATCTGAATTCAACGTGTGAAAGCTGTGCAGTGCCCCATAGCTACACACATATTGATAAGTAATTATGCTTTTAGAAGAATAAAATGAGTTTTTTCCTCACAATTTATATGTAATATTTTCTCAAACAGCCACTAAATTAGTAGAACATAAATAGTTGTTTAGACCTAAGTACTTAATAAATGGAATGGTTAGGTTTTTCTTTTGGTCTAGGAGGCACCATGAAAATTTTTGAGACACTAAAGATGCTATGACTGAAAAAGTTTGGAAACCTCTAGTCTAGATACTATCTACCTCCACCCCCATCACACCTGATATTACTACTTTCCCGCAGCACAGTACATTTTCCGTGTCCATGGGTTCCACATCTGTGGATTCAACCAACCATGGATCAAAAATATTTGAAAAAAAATGCATCTGTACTGAACATGTACAGACTTTCTTGCCACTATTCGCTAAACAATATAGTATAACAACTATTTACATAACATTTATACTATATCAGGTATTATAAGTAATCTAGACATGATTTAAAGTATAAGGGAGGATATGCATAGGTTTTAGGCAAATACATTCTATCAGGGACTTGAGCATTCATTGATTTTGGTATCCATGGGGAGGGGGTCCCAGAATCAGTCCTCCATAGATACCAAGGAAAGACCATATTCTAAAATAAAAGGCCCTCTATGAAGAATTTTAATCTTAAGCTGCATATGAGAAATTATTAAAACAGTTGGACATTGATTTGAGAAATAAATGCACAAATTTTTCAACTAAAGAAATTTTTATCATAAAAACGAGATATTTCCCTAGGGGTTCCATGTAACCAGGCTATCACATAGTACGCAGCACCCTAGTTACCTTGGCAAATAAACTTCAATCTAGGTAAGTTTTTTTCACATGTAACTTCTAAAGAAATCTTTCAGACTAAACACGGTTTCAAAACCATTTGCTAGAACTTAGCTTTGTGATAGAGTACAAATCTAAAATGCCTGCTGTCCTGGCATAATTATTAACAATGCCCCCTTTCACTCGAAAAGTACTCCAATCTGGATGATCAATTATATGGCCGCCCTGATTTACAAGCCAATTACATGTTGAAGAAATCAAGGTATGAATGTCTGCTTGTATTACTAGCTAAGCAAGAACGAGAGGTGTGATTCTGGGTTTCAGTTTTTTAAATAACTCATTATCAGACACTCGAAGACACGGCTGGAGCCGGCTGGAGCCCGATGACCCTTAGTATCCTTCTTCTAACCCACAGTCCTGTGACTCTGAAGTCACAATGGGTAGACAGTGAATCAGCACATCTAGCTGCCAAAGCTACTGACGAATTAGGCTCTGTACCTTACAGATTTCATGCACGTTTTACTAAGTTGTTGATAACCTGTAATAATAAGCCAAGTAATGACTTGGGTTTCCTTATTTAAAGAAATAAGAAGAAATGAGTAAAGAAAATATTACAAGAAAAGCAATTCATTAATTCTAAATTCTCCTTTGTTCAATTGTAACAAATTTAATATTTCATTTTAAAATAGTCACAGTTGGAATTGTTTCTAATTCTATCCATTTTTTTCCTTGTAACTCAACCTGCCCTTAGATAAATTTTAATATCTTTCTTCATACAAAACAACATTTCTTACTCATTAACACTATATTTTTTCTTCCCAAGAAACCCAGTGGCTGGTTTTCACACTTGACTCTCTACTATTCCTTTCTCTAAAAATGGAAGGTGCAAAGATTTTCTTTCTCACAAAATCTCTCATGCTTCAGGGTTTAAAAAAAAAAATCTTCTGACTTAGTAAATATAGACTCTCAAAGAATGAGCAGACTCGTGTGTGACTTTTCATAACATACACAGGACAGAAATACTACAAATAACTTTAGATAAACAGAGGGAAATATCATGCAATATCCCTCTAACTTGATTTCTGAAGAACTGTGCTTTAAATGTGATGGCATTTCAAGACAAAATTAACTTGCTGGTTTCACCTTTGCTTTTCCTTACACGTCAGTATTTTCTACATTTAAGGCCTAAGATGAACATGAATGACAGCATTCACCTTCTAGAACTCTGAGTGTCTTCAGAGTATTAATACACAGATATGCACATTCCTAAGCCCCCGCCTGACAGTAATGATTCAGGAATTCTGAGATCTGGGCCCAGGAATCTACATCTCTTACAAGCCTCTGAGATGAGATCCGTATGTACATAATTTCTTAGGTCTACTGATAAACAAGTGCCTCAGTGCATAAGAGATAGAAGCTTACATTCAGTAAACAACCCATTTACTCATTTCTCAAAATTTTGAGCATGAATATATTAAAACACACACACACAATGAGATGCGGCTATGGAGAGACACTAAACAGGTTTTTAAGAAGCCTCCCTGCGGCTGAGCGCGGTGGCTCATGCCTGTAATCCCAGCACTTTGGGAGGCCGAAGCAGGCGGATCACGAAGTCAGGAATTCGAGACCAGCCTGACCAACATGGTGAAACCCCATCTCTACGAAAAATAAAAAAATTAGCCGGTCGTGGTGGTGCATGCCTGTAATCCCAGCTACTCAGGAGGCTGAGACAGGAGAATCTCTTGAACCTAGGAGGCAGAGGTTGCAGTGAGCCGAGATTGGCCTGGGCGACACAGCAAGACCCCGTCTCGAAGAAAAGAAAAAAAAAAAAGCCTCCCTGCATGTGGGTAGGAGTCATCTTAGCAAAGGACATACTGATTGTTCTTTTTTGTTATTGTTGAGCCAGAGTCTCGCTCTGTCGCACAGGCTGGAGTGCAGTGGCACGATCTTGGCTTGCTGCAACCTCCGCCTCCCATGTTCAAGCAATTCTCATGCCCCAACCTCCCGCGTAGCTGGGACTACAGGCGCGTGCCACCACGCCCGGCTAATTTTTGTATTTTTAGTAGAGAACGGAATTTTGTCATGTTGACCAGGCTGGTCTCAAACTCCTGATCTCAAGTGACCCACCCGCCTCGGCCTCCCAAAGCGCAGAGGTTACAAGCATGTGCTACAATGCCCAGCTTGATTGTTCTTCATTGTGGAATGTGTAAACAGTTCCCCCACCTGAAGCAAGGGTGGAAATGCAGTTGTGAGAGAACATCCTGGCTCTTGTCCTAACAATTTTTTTCCCCACTGCAATACCTTCCCCAAATTTGTCTGACCCTTAGTAAAGAACTCCCATCAGCTCACTCTTTTCTGCAGTTCCCTCCTTACCCAACTTAGAATCCATGGCCCAGGTAAATAATGTTCTTGATCTTGCACCAGTGTTTCTTGCTCCTCTAGCTGTCTTTTTAGCACAGCCCCCAACACACCCCCAAACCTAGACAAACTCACTGACCAGTGATATAGATTTTTTGCTTGACCAAACTTTAGTCAGGCTCCTTTACATTCTCCTACATCCGTGTATACACTTCCTTATAAAATCTGGTTTTGGCAAGAACTCTAAGTCAGTTTATCCAGAATTCCCCACCCTCTATGTCTAATCACCCCCACTAATTAATTGGGTTCCTCATCCTCTCCCATTCCCCAGATGGTATCTGATCACCCTGGCCTGCCTTCAACAAGAATCCTATAATAGGTCAGGATCACTTTAACCAGAATTCTCTCCCTTTCTTCCCCTACTTCACTCCTATAGCCCTGATGTTTCCTCCTAGTAATTTTCCATCCACTGACCTCCACTCCACTCCTTGGCTATAAATTCCTATTTGTCCATGCTCTGTTCAGAATTGAGCTCAATCTCTCTCCCTCACTGCAAAAATCCCACTGCAGTGGTCCCTACGCCTATCGTGATGGTACTAAATAAAGTCTGCCTTACCATCTTGAACGAGTGTCATGAGTAATTCCTCTTTAATACCATTTTGTCCCTCCTGATACAGAAGCACCTGAGACTGCAGAGAGTGCCATGCAACAGGAAGATCAGTCAACCACAGAGCACCAACTATCACTTGCCCGGAAAACATCTACCCTCAACACTGCCCAGGGAACATCTACCTTCTTCTGGTCAACCATTTACAATCTCTTCCAACCTCCAACCTCCATACCCTCTCCTTACCCCCTTCTCTCAATATAGCCTCACCCCTTGTATGTCATGAAGGAAATAAACCCCCTTATACAAGAACTCGCTCCCTTTCCTGCTACTAAACTCGCAAACCCACCATACTTCTGTACCTTCCTCTCCCACTCTCCGCACAATGAAATAAAGATGGTACTTATTTTGTTGTTTTTGGGTTTTCTGGGTTTTTTTGAGTCGGAGTCTTGCTCTGTTGCCCAGGCTGGAGTGCAGTGGCACGACCTTGACTCACTGCAATCTCTGCCTCCCAGGTTCAAGCAATTCTCGTGCCTCAGCCTCCTGAGTAGCTGACACTACAGATGCCTGCCATCACACCTGGCTAATTTTTGTATTTTTAGTAGAGACATGGTTTCACCATTTTGGCCAGGCTGGTCTCAGACTCCTGACCTCAGGTGATCCACCCACCTTGGCCTCCCAAAGTGCTGGAATTACAGGCATGAGCCACCACGCCCGGCCCAAAGGCGGTATTTTTTCCTATCTTGGAGACCATCCCTCTTATATTCTTCTCTCATAGACCATTGTGAAAAATAAATGTTATAACCTGTGTTTCACAAAGCACAGTTTCTGACACATTAAAAAGAATTCAATGAATAGACGCTGCTTTCACCATTAAGGTTTCCAACAGGGTTGTACCTAGTGGGTGCTCCAAGGATGAAAACAATCAATCCTATATTTGAATGGGAAGAGAGAATCAGATAAGCACATCCTCAAGCAAAACTCTGTTAGCGCCACCTCGCCCAAAATAACCCAAGTGTTTTCCACAAGAAGAACTTACCCTATAGACTCGCACGAAGAACAAGGGGTTAAAAAGTTAAGGCATCAACATTTTCTTGTTTTTGATTTAAAAACTACTCAAAGCTACTGTTAAATGACAGGGCATAACAGTGAAAACTAGGTTCCTTTCCATACTTGCTACCATGCAGTTACAGTTTCTCCTTCCGGAAACTATAACTTATGAAATTTAAATGAACTAGAACGTTTGGATCACATTCAAAGTGTACACTGGACCTTCTGCCAATATGTAAATCGCAGGGGGTTCACAGGACCCCATTAGAGAAACAGTACAGTATGGACTTTCACAAGATTCATTCTCATCATCGTCTTCCTTCTAAATGGAGTCTTGGCAATTAATTACTCAAAATTAAAAAAAAAAAAGTCACGCAAATTTACACAGATGGAAACAGAATATCTTTACTTGTTAAAGCCAGGAACACAATCAGGCTCTTTGCTCCCTTCTGTGTAAATATTCCTGAGACCCTCTCACCCAAAACCGTGGACATCCTGGGGGATTTTGCTTTCCAGCATCAGGGCAAGCTGGCTAGTTTGGTTTGGAGCCTCTGTACTGGCTGCTCATTGAAGATAAACTTAACAATTGAATAGAGCCTTCATTAGCATTTCCATCAACCCATTGGGAGCTCTCAATATCAGCTCATAAAGAATTATGCTTTTAAGTTACATGTCTTTTAGAAGAGTCAGATACATTTTCTGAGTTCCCTTTTGGGAAGGTCATCCTTCAAGTTCAACTGAATGCAGGTAAAAGCTAACCCTATCCCCGAGTCACTTTAGAAAAGCAATTACATTCTTACATCAACAATATAGCAAGGATAAAAATATCAAAATAAAGAGATAATCCTTAAATACATTTAGCTTTAAGGAAAGCATATTAGGTTGAGGACTCTATTTGGGAATTACTGGCCCACAGGGTTTGATTTCAGGGCATAAGGGCACAAAGAATTGTTTTTACTGCCTGTAAAACTTTTAAAACCGTCATGAAAAATGTGAAAGATTTCATAGAAGAATCAAAATTTTCATCTTCTCATGAAAATTTGGAAGCCCTCACAGCACCGGCCTGCCTTGCCAGTATGGGCTAAAGCCGAGTGGCGCCTGCCTCGGTCAGGGACTTAACTCACAGGCTTGCCAAGGTTCCACCACTCCCTTTTGTGTCAAATCCAGGCAGATTTTACAAATTTAAGAGACCTAACTGACTCCTGTAGACATCCGAGTTTTGATGCCTGGTTTTTTTGTTTGTTTTACCCAGGCTGGAGTGAAGTGGTGTGATCTCGGCTCACTGCAACCTCTGCCTCGCTGGGGTTCAAGTGATTCCCCTGCCTCAGTCTCCCGAGTAGCTAGAATTACAGGCACCCGCCACCACACCCAGCTAATTTTTGTATTTTTAGTAGAAACAGGGTTTCGCCATGTTGGCCAGGCTGGTCTAGAACTCCTGACCTCAGGTGATCCACCGACCTCGACCTCCAAGTGCTAGGATTACAGGCGTGAGCCATCGCACCCGGCTTGATGCTCATTTTAAGGCATTGTTAGGATACTGGGATATGGTAGAGGGTAGGGGATCTATTTGCTGCGGTTGACAGCTGTTGATTCTTTAGCTGAACGAATCTCAGGTGCTTCTAAGAAAAACGTTCTGAGCCGGTAGATGGCAGAGTTTTAATTAATCAGGTGCTGGGGGGCTAAGCAGAGAGGAGGAGGAGATAGAACACGACATTTTTCCCACCAATAAATTTTGCCTGGGATCAGTCCTGTTTTTCTTTCTGATGAATGTTGTGAAATGAACATCAGACTGATTTCTTAATCTAAGTGTATTTCAGAGGATGATTTAGTTCTCACCCTCCTGCTCTCTTGGTGGGGCAGAAATATCCAATGATTCTTACTGTGATTTGTCAATTTTCCCCTGGGTGTTGCCTATAACAACATGTTCTCTTCACAGATTCCCCCACCCAAGTTGTTCTGCTCTGAAGTCAGCACTAATTCACTGTTCTGCTTTCATTAACATCTGCGGGTGAGCTCTAATAAAGTAAACCCAGCATTGCTTCAGGGGTCAATGCTCTATCTCCAGACTGCAAAAGAGAAAGCAGACAGACTTCCTCCAGGCTAGAGGAAAAAGAGAAAGAAACTCAGAAGAATTATTTAGTGCATCCAGAGTCGGGTTTTAGCCAACACAGTACAACTTATTTCTCCATGAACCAGTATTAGGAAAACCAAAAGCACCAGATCATCAAAATCACAAAAACAAGAACTCAGTGTACTGCTAATATGTGCATAAATGAATGTATTTATATGGATCATACTTATTCTAGGCTTGTGCCACAGAATAGAATTTTGTTAGAATCCCAAGTCTGGAAGGCTGATGGTTGAGCCTGCCAACCATCTGCCAGCAGAAACCTATTCACACACAAGCTTTCTCATATAGCTTGGAACCGATTCAGTCCTAAAAGACACCTACCTTGAAAAAAGCCTACACTAAGCCTTGAGTGACCTATCACAAAGTTGGGAAATCGTTTCACGAATCAGGCCCTTTTTTTCACTTCTGTCTAGTCATTTCTTTGATTTAGATTTTAGGTGGCCTTGAATAACTAATAGTCATGAGTACAAGACCTTCCAGAGCTATGTTATATGAAATCCCCAACAGCAGCAATCACAACAACCCAAACACTCAGCTTCCTCCAAAAGCAACCAGCAAGAGGCCTGCAGAGAGAGGGAAGCCAGGCCTCAAGGCTGGAACTCTCAGGACTTTTGACCATCATCAGGAACATCACATCCAGGCAAATTCTGATTCATTCATTCCTTTGTGCCTTTCCTTTTTCTGAAGCCTCAACAGCTTTTTAGCTGTGAAGTTGGATGAGCTTAAAAGGAGGTTCGAAATATTGATCCTCTAGAATCTGCCTTCTCATCAACACTTTTCCACTGGGACTTTGACTCCCCAATCAGGCTTCACAGAAAACATAGCTGACCAAGCTCCCGGAGAAGAAAAGCTCTTTACTAACACTTGGTTCTTCTACGTTAAAATGCCATTGACCCCTCCCATCCTACTCAAGTTATAATTAACTAAGGGCCCCTTTGCCCTTCACGGTTATTGCCTTACAGAAAGATACATGAACCACATAGGCCCTTTATGTTTACAAAGATGCCAAATTCCTTCACTAATTAAGTTGAAGGGGGACTAATTCTGCCTCTTTCTGAAGTAGGAACCATTTGCCATGTTTTCAATAATGCACATGAATGGTGAGGTCTCTGAACATTCAGGTAAGTACATTTGTTTGTCTTCAGTTTTATTTTCCTTGATGATCTCCCAAATCTCAGTATTCTCAAGGTTTTAAAGAAAAAGGGTGGTGGTAGAGAGATTCCTGATATAAGACAGCAACAATATATGTTACACAAAAACATTATCGTCAGTAAAATCTGCCAGAAGATCGAAATGCAGAGCTGAAAGAACAATGTGACAATATTATATGTTGTGACAACATAGAAGTAATACGACTTAAACAAATAGAAGAAGGAAGAGTAAAACTGGAAATTTGACTGAGTTCATGGATTGGTGTACAGGAAATAGGTAAGGGTTCAAGAATATCCTTAAAAACTGACAACCCAGATAATATAAAGTTAAATAAGAAACCTGTGGCTGTGGGCATTTTTTTAAAAAAAATGGTAAAATACAAACATAACACTAGAACAGAAATTCAAACCCTAACTGCCAAAATTAGTATTTTTAATAAATTGAACAAAAACTCTACATCTCATGGAGAAAAAGCATAGACAATATAACAATACTTTTTCAAATTTTTGCACTTGGAGGCTATCTTGCAATTCTACCTATAGTATGCTACATGGTAAAAGGTGAATTTTAAGATAGCCTCCAAGATTCCTGCTTTCTGGGGCACATGTCATATATTATCATCTCCTCCTAACTGTAGATAGGTTATGAGTATGACATGACTTCACTCCCATGATTAGGTTACATTATATGGCAAAGGTGAAAGGGGATTATCCTGGGTGGGTCTGACCTTAAGAAGTATACCCTTTAAAGATAGTCTAGGGCTAGAGAAAATATTAGAAAAATCCAAAGCAGCAGAGCCACTACTAAGAGACAAACCAGGGAGAGGTCATGTGGGCAGCTTCTTGGAGATAAGGGCTTCAGTGCAACCACCGCAAGCAATGGAATTCTGCCAACAACCAGTTAGCTTGGAAAAGGACTCCCAAGCCTCAGATGATATCGAAACCCTGGCCAACACCTGAATTTCAGCCTGGTGAGTCTGAGCAGAAAAGCAGAAAACCCGACTAACCCATGTCCAAACTCCTGACCCACAGAAACTATGAGCTAATACATTTGTGTTGTTTTAAGCCACTAAGTTTGTGGCAATTTTTGTGCAACAACAAAAAATACCACCTTTCAAGTATAAAAAAAGGAAATAAGAAAATACAGTATGCATCTGCTGATGTGTGTAAAAAATATATATACAGGAAGGATAAACCAAGAAGTAATGAGATTATCTACAGAAAGAGGACAGGAATGAGTCAGAAAGAATGAGGAAGAAATGACACCTTCTGAGCATACTTTTCATGTATTTATAAGTCTTAGAACTGTGACAATATTTGACATCACCTAAAAATAAATAAAACCAACATGATTTTAATCAAAATGAAATAAGAGAACCTAATGTATTACAAATGAACAAAAGCACAAAGTAGGTAGAGAAGAACCTAAATAACTTTAGAAAACAGTACTCTATTCTAACACTAAAAACAAAAAAAAATGCACACAAATGTTACATTCTAGTTAGCAAATTTCTCGTGGGGTATGTGTTAGCATTCTGAAAACTACTATGTGTGTAGCTTAGAATTGCACAAATAAGTAAACACATTGTGGATAATGACAACCAGGTTTCTCACATTCAGATAAAAGAGTTACATATAAGGGGGAAAGTGAGAATGAACCCTAAGGTTTTTAATATATAGATACAAACGTGTGCATATGTATATGTATACACATATACTTCCTAGCTCTATCTGTTGAGAACGGCTAGAAGTACTGACATCTTAGGAACAATAAGCACATCTAGCACCAAATTTTGGTTTCTATATACCTTTCTCTAATAAGGCGAACTAGAGCTTCTTAGAAAAATGACTGATTCCAGGGCTGGAGCAGGAAAAGAAAAAAAAAAATCCAAGATAAGCTTGGAACATCTTATGGTACCAAAAGTAAGAAATTGGTCCAAAAATTGGAACATGTCAAAAGAACATTACAAGCCAAATTTAAGGACCTCACAATAGCCAAATCTGGAACAATTTGAGCAATATAATAAATAATCATAGGAAGAGATTGTAACCCATAACCAAATATCCATGAATCCATACAGATATAAATAACTGAATAAATAATAAGAGGAGAAGGAATAGCTCACCCTCACAGAATTCTAACTCATATGACGGGATGACAGAAATTTAAAAATCACTATTTGGCAAACACCACAGTGATAATTGATGCAGCCAGGAAATCAACAAACGCTAAAATTAATTAGCAAATGTAGGATGTGAAACAAGATATTTGCAGAGTTGCAAAGTATCTCCCCACAAGACACTAATTACAAAGAGAAAAATCATAGCTTTACTGTGGAGACATCTGGCAGGCCCCACCTTAACCAAGTGATCAAGTTAGCAAAGTAACGAGACATGCAGATACCATGGGCATGTGATGATAATGCACTAATATGTACACAAGATCACTTCCACGATATTCTTGCCAAAAATGCCCAGCCTGAATCAAAGTCTATGAAATAACTGGTCAGTAATCCCCAAAATTATCAAAATCATAAAGAACAAAGACAGACTGACTGTTCCAAATTAGAAGAAACTGGAGAGACATAACAACTAAATGCAATGTAGGAACCGGCCCTAGATCCCGGACCCAGAAAAGGGCATCAGCAGGACAATGATTAATAGTATTGTGTCCCTGTTAATTTCCTAGTTTTGATCATCACACTATGATTATGTGAGACATTATTTGGGGAAAGTAAGAAAGATTATATAGCAACTAGTACTCCTTGTACTAGTTTGCAACTTTTTTTAAGTCTGAAATTCTTTTAAAATTAATCTTGCCACCTATAAGGTATGGGCTGATAGAAGATACACAAGCTTAATGCTGGGGTAAACATGGGGAATTACTATTGCCAACCTAATAGTGAAATGACTAGGGTAAGAAAGAAGCTAAGAAATACTAACGTAGAATCAGAACAGCTATCCACGTCATTCTCTAGTTCTTAACACTAAACAAGGCATCCTAGTTGATTGGCATTTCGTATATGCTTCCTGGAGGCAGGCAGGCAGGTAGGGAAGTGTGTGTGTATGTGTATCCTGTCCTCTCAACTAGGAGGTGTAAAAGCTTTTAGGGCATGAAAAAAATCTTTTTTTTTTTTTTGGTGAGACGGAGTCTCACTCTGTCACCTAGGCTGGTGTGCAATGGCACGATCTCGGCTCATTGCAACCTCTGCCTCCCAGGGTTCAACGGATTTTCGTGCCTCAGCCTCCCAAGTAGCTGGGATTATAGTAATGTGCCACCACACCCAGCTAATTTTTATATTTTTATTACAGACGGTGTTTTGCCATGTTGGCCAGGCTGGTTTCGAACTCCTGACCTCAAGTGATCCGCCCATCTCAACCTCCCAAAGTGCTGGGATTACAGGCATGAGTCACCACACTTGGCCCAGCATGAACATCTTAATCTATCTTTACATTCTATCTGATAATATGATCTACGTAGAATAGGAACACAACAAAACTTACTGATAATATGTACTTAATACTTCAAAGAAAGTACCTGAAATAACAGAACTCCAAGAATTCTTGTAGCTCCTGAATTCCTTAGTGTTATTCCTGTTAGTATATTTCCAGTAAATTTTTTTCCTAAAAGACCATTGAACTGCCATTTACATATTCAGGCTTTGTAATATATAGAATAATAGGAGTAGTAAGCAAGCATCATAGACAAATCGGGTGTTCCAACGCTGCGTTTCCAGGTGTTATGTGTATTCCCCAACGCAAAGTTTTTCCTTCTGTTAATTAAACTGAGCTATAACAAAAGAGTTGACTGTGTGTGTTGCAAGTGTTAGTAGTTCTATTTTCTACTCTACTTGTCCTCTGCATAACAGGGCCTGGCACATAATAGGTGCACAGTAAGTATCTGTCAAATGAATAAAATCCACATGGTCCTCCTGATGATAAGATTTCAGAGCCAAGAGTCAAAAAGCGTACCAGGTCACTTCTTCTAAACAGGCTGATAACCCAGGGCTTTCTCTGACAATAGTCAAGGCACATGAGAAAGGACCACTACATCTAACTTTTTATTTTGAGGCATATTTCAAGAGTAATCTAAAATTATCATGCAATTGTTAGGATAAAAACCAATTCACCACGATGATTTTTAACATCCTTCAAACAACTGTTAATTAAACCAAAACGACAATTCTCAAATCAAATGAATATCCTTTCTCTCTGGAAGGAGAGAAACTCGTAGCAGTTTATGAAATTTTAATTTGATACCCGTATTTTTCAGACCAAACTTAAAAACAATCAAGACAGGAAAAACACAATCACATATCAGCTCTGAAAACACTGCAGCATTATTATTGTGGTGGTAGTTTCCCTACTAATTTTGCTCTTTGTGTAGTTTATAATCCTTCTTTTACAATGAGACTCCTTCTGAATTTGACTGCCTTTTGTCAGCTCTGTCCCAAGTTACTGAAAAGATATGTGTTATTTTGGGTCAGATGCTGAGGTTGAAACACTAAATACAATAACAGAGGTCAAATGCCTTCTACAACTTTAGTCCAACAAAACACTCTCCATACAAAAGGAAAAGCTCACAGCTTCCTGAAGATAGTCTCCCTTCCTCTGGCCTCACAGTTGGGTGACCCTCGTTTATCATACCGTCTTCCAGAGGAACTGCCCCACTCTGCCCTAACCAGCACTGCAGACATTCCTGGGGTGGATGGTTAAAGGGATTCACCAGGGGATGCTGCTGGCTTTATTTTCTTCCAAACTGTATTTGCTTTTGTTTTTAATCCAGCCTGTGTACACACCAAGCAAATAAGATATGTAAGCCAAATGCTTTGTTAATATCTGAAATGAGCTTTCATGGTTTTAAAAGCAAAATTACAGGGTCCTAAACACTGGCTATCCTACAAACCCAAATTAAAGGTGACTATTTGTCTTAGTCCATTTGTGTTGCTATAAAGGGATACCCAAGGCTGCGTAATTTCTAAAGAAAAGGTTTATTTGGCTCATGGTTCTCTGGGCTGTACACAAAGCATTGTGCCAGCATCTGCTCCTGGTGAGAGCCTCAGGCTGCTTCCACTTATGGCAGAAGGGGAAGAGGAACTGCTGTGTGCAGAGATCACGTGGCAACAGAGGTGCCAGGCTCTTTTAACAAACATATTTTGCATGAACTAATAGGGCTAGAACTCACTCATTACCACCAGTGATAACACCAGGAAGACTCATTAGGACACCAAGCCATTCATGAAGGATCCACCCCCATCACCCAAATCACCTCCCACTAGGCTCCACCTCCCAACATTGGGGATCACATTTCAACATGAGGTTTAGAGGGTTAAATATCCAAACTACAACACCGCTCATATTAACAGCACCTTGATTTGTGCCCTTCCATAGTACCACATTCTTCTATAAAGTTAGGACATTTGAGATTTGAATGAATCAGTATCTTTCCTTTTCAGAATTCTGAGGTTCATTTTGTTAACAGGAAAAAAGAAATTACACTGGAAGCCTACCTATCAAATGCTGAATCTAAAATGAGGAGAAGTTTGATGAGAAAACAATTTGAACTCTCAAATTCCTCTACCTCGAGAACATTTTCCATAATTGCATAAGAATCTCTTGCTTCTTTAAATTCCAATAGCTCTTATAGGCTGCCCCATACCACCTAGAACTTATTCTTACAGTGCCAATTTGAATCATTCATTGCTTTATGATGTACCCCTTGGGATTTCACTTGCTAACTAAATTATACATTCTTTAAGGCTAGGAAGTAGGAGTCTACTATTTCTATCCACAATTATGGTTGGCTTCATGTTGGGCAGTGTTAGGTACTTCCTTGTTGACGGTTTCCATGAAAAACACTACAAAGGTAATGAAATAACCTTACATAACAAGGTGACATAGAAGAAAAAAAAAGTAATAATATATCGGCTATTTTCTTTTTATCACCAACACATAAACACTGCCTCTTTGTTAAAACAAATTTCACTTAGGGAGTTCAATAAAGCAAAGTAGAGGAACGATAACCGATCTGCTTAGTTCCTGAGAAAAATTTAGTGTCAAAAGAAACAAGGGGTGATTAAACAAAACAAAATACTGAAACACCAGATCTTTTAAAATGCTAGTTTTTTTGTTTGAATCAAAACTAATTAATTCAAAACAAACATGGAAAATTATGAAAGATAAGGAAAAGAAGAATCTGGTTCCACGCTGTACTTGAACACCCCCCTTACAAAGCCTTAGATAAAAATGCAAGAAAAAAATAATTACAAAGCACTTAATATAAAATCATTCTCCAGTTGAGAAAAGCCAAAACTGTAATGACAACAGAGTACAGCTATTATTGAGAACTGAGTTGACAAAGCCAAAAATATTGAACTAATTTCCTTGCCGAAAAGCATTACAGAAATATTTCTGATACTATGCTATTTTAGAAAACGATCTTACAAAAATCTTCCCCGAAATGAAGTTCCTGTTTTTATAGGCTGTGTATGAGCCTTGATTTAATCTATTCCAGTTGCTTTTGGAGATAGAGACTGATCTAACAAGAAATTACATAAAGCAAGGTAATTGTTCTGGGGGCAGAGGGTGGGGGACGGAATGAAGAGATGTCATTATACCATGACCGTGAGTTCAACAGACAGGACCATATCTAAATCAGAGGGTAATAAACTTCTGAAACCCACAAACTCCTTCCACTGGAACAATGCTGTGTTCATGCCAGTACTTTTTATTTTTACAAAAGCAATTTACTATTTTTCATAGTACATAAATGATTAAAATGTATACTTTAGCTCAGTATAACTCTATTTTACAATATATAGTTTGTTGTTGTTGTTGTTGTTGAGATGAAGTCTCACTCTGTCGCCCAGGCTGGAGTGCAGTAGCACAATCTCAGCTTACTGCAACCTCCGCCTCCCGAGTTCAGGCGATTCTCCTGCCTCAACCCCCCGAGTAGCTGGGATTCCAGGTGCACGCCACCACGCCAGGCTAATTTTTGTATTTTTAGTAGAGATGAGGTTTCACCATGTTGGCCAGGCTGGCCTCAAACTCCTGACCTTAAGTGATCCTCTCGCCTCAGCCTCCCAAAATGCTGGGATTAAAGGCATGAGCCATCACACCCTGGCTGATCTATAGTTCAGTTTTAAAACCATCTTTAAGTAGTCATTATGAAGATAAAATACACTATGCAATGTTAAACTAATTTCAAGGAAAGAGACAAAAAAGGCAAAATTTGGGGAGTTGGCTGGTGGGATTTAAAACAGTGAAATTTCTTGTGGTCAATTTAGCTAAGCTTATTTCTGGTTAGTGATCCAGAGACCCAGCCAACAATTCACACCCACTGTCCTTTCACAAAACTGAATCAGGATAGAAAATAGCAGCATCCTGGCAGGCCGGCAGCCATTCAGCTGATGCACAGTGTTTTTCCAGCCTAGGCGGCAACCCCAGAGCTTCCACTCACCCTACCCGACCCCTGCCTGGCCCCCTGACCCTGAAAACTGTGTAGCAAGACCTCACTCCTCAGATAGTGGCCAGTTTATACTTGAGTTACAAAGGAAGATCATAAATCTAGCAAACTTCCTCCTTAAATTGGGACAGTTTCTTTGCCAGATGTTCATTTTTACTGGCTTTTTTCACATAACAATGGGAGTGGGGAGAGGATACATTCATTATACAAGTGATTTTCAAATAGCAACACCAAAAGAGGGCAGGAGGAAAGCACAGGCATCACCCAACCACCTGGGCTGTGTCCCCACCAACAGCACAATGGAGCAAAGCTGGCGAGGGAGTAGGACACAGAGGGCTTAATAGACAGCAGCATTATCCAAGGCACATGGCAGGCAAGATGGAAGGAATACAAATAACGTAACTCATTGAAGATGATGTTTTTTCCCGTTTTTTGACACAACCAGATATTACTTGGCCAGCTACACAACACATTTGCCTTTCCATCCCCACCCATCTGTAATTTTTTCTTTTTTCAATCAGATGTTCTGTTCACACACTGGTCCATAAATAACTTGCTTGGAGTCTGATAATTTTCCTTTTTTTTTTTTTTCCTTAAACTCCATAAACTGTTTCCTGTAGAGTTTTAGCCAATGTGGAAGGTGAGGCTGACCATGAGTCCCAAGTTGTGTGGGCCGTTGCATGGAAGCAACAGGTTTTTTAAGTTTATCCAACACACACACACACACACACACACACACACACACACACACACACACATTGGATAGCAAAAGCTGAAGAGAAGCATCTGCAGCCTGCACATACAACAGAGCTGTTAAATTCCTGGCTCACAAGCAACAGAGAAGAAGTCAGCTCAGAGGCCAAAGATTTCCAGGAACGTCGATGTTTAGGGAAGATCATAAACTGTAGCAGTCAACTCAAGTCCTCCCAGACTCTGCCCGAGAATGATGCTGTACACTTACGATTTTCAAAGACAAAATGAACACAAATAGCATATCCCTGCATTTTCTTTTCCCTTGTCTTCCCAGCCCCCAAACCTCTCCCACTCCCCCCAACCACTCTCACACCTTATTTATTGTAAACTCATTCCCTACTGCTGGCCTCATGCTCACTTCTATGCACCCAATTCCCTCCTCTTTCCCCTTTTTTTGCAAGTTTCCCCGTCACCTCTACCATGGCGAAATTAACATTTTAGTACAAGTTTTAAATATCCCCCAGGCACAGGCAAAACTAGAGATGCAGCATCTGTTTTTCTATATTACAGAGAACTGAAAGATCAGCTACAAATTTTCTTTGCTAATACTTAAGTGGCTGCATGATGCTAATTAAAAACTCATTTTATTCTTTGTGGTTTATCACTAAAATACAGGTAGTATCTTTTATATCCCCTAGTGGCAACAGTTTCAGATCAGTTAATACGACTAAGAAACTCTCAGTATGTTTTGGCTGACAAATTTTTTTTATTAAAACTATCAGTCATACAAACTTTGTGGATGTGAAATCTTTGGCAGGTCATCTCTATCTCCTCAGCTCAAGATGAATTTTTCTTAGACTTGTTTCAGTCTATAAAGTGTTCACTATAATCAATGAAGTAACATCAATGTATAAGGTAGGAAGTTTACATTCTACGTCCCACATCCACCACCCCCACAAAGGAAAATACTGTCAACTATAGGTAGTCCACAGCCTCCTCCAAGCCTTTTGCTTTTTCCTTACAAGTATTACATTGTGTATATAAGCACAGAGGACCATCCAGTGCCTAGCAGCTCTAGGTCAGCTGTTCTGTTAATCTTGCTCCTTCTTTCATGTTATTCTTGTCCCTCAAACAAACAACAACGTTTCCTGAGCTAATCCCATCTTACTGGTACAGGTAGCTGGTGAGGTCTCCTCCACTGTAGTGTGAGGCATTTCTACATCTGGCCCCTCCCTGAAAAGAAAGTTGAAATGCATACTGTTAAGTGGCACACAGAGGGAATGAAGAGAAAGGCAGCCAAGCTTGGGCCTCAGAATAAGACAGGCTCAGCCCCAGATGGAGTATTTCCTTCCTGTTATAGGTGTTGCCTTTCCCATTCCACCTCTTCGGATGGCTAGGAATTACTTTGTTCTTGTTTTACCCTTTCTGCTAACCTCAATTCTTCCCCACTGTAGGGAACACTTCTTTTGTTGACAGCACTCTTCTCATGGGTTTAGCCTGGAAGCAGGAGGATGGATGCTGAACAGATTCTCCCATTCCACAGGCATCCTTTGCACTCTACCCTGCTGGACAGGGTCTCGCTGTTGCTCAGGCTGGAGTGCAGTGGTACCATCGTGGCTCACTGCAGCCTCAACCTCCTGGGCTCAAGGTATCCTCCTGCCTCAGCCTCCCAAATAGCTAGGACTGTAGGCACATGCTACCACACCTGGCTAATTTTTTATTTTTTGTAGATGGAGTCTATGTTGCACAGACTGGTCTCAAACTCCTAGCCTCAAGTGATCCTCCCGCCTCAGCCTCCCAAAGTGCAAGGATTATAGGCATGAGCCACCACACCTGGCTTGTGTCCTAGTTGACACCAAAACCATTTACCAGGATCTTGCCAACTGATTCCAGCCAGTCTAACTTAGCTCAAAGGCATTAATGTGGCCATTAGTTTTGGAGGCAAATTAATTAAGTACTGTGATTTTAAATATATATGTGTGTGTGTGCATATATACATACACACAGGTATATATATGTGTGCATATGTCTGTTTACAGACAGATATAGATATGCAATCTGGATCCAAAGTGGATACACAGTAACTAAATTATACGTTATCTCAGTTTTTCTTTTGTGATCAGCATGTCTTGGAAAAATAAATTATATGTTATCTCAGTTTTTCTTGTGTGACCAGCATGTCTTGGAAAAATAGAACTTTTGATTGTGCAAGTATTGCTCGTGTGTCTTGGCCTTCAATGCCAATAAAACACCTAGGCTTAAGTAGCTAAAAAGCTTATTTGCGGACTTGCTTGCACTAAGGGTTTCACCAATGGTCTGACCTCTCTCTTGCCCTCAATTGTGAAATAATAAGAAGACACTTGCTACAACCACCCACAGGCAAGCTCTTTATATAGAGGTAGATTGCTTCATCTTGTAAGTGTGAAATGTATTTTACCATCTATAAATCACAAACCCCAACAGGACCCAGCATAGGGCCTATTCATTTCACAGTACTAAAATGAAACACTTTTGCAGATACACAGAAAATAATTTCTAAAGGAAATAATTCATCTAGCCAGGCGTTGTGGCTCACACCTGTAATCCCAGCACTTTGAGAGGCCGAGGTGGGCGTATCACTTGAGGTCAGGAGTTCAACACCAGCCATGGTGAAACCCCGTCTCCTACTAAAAATACAAAAATTAGCTGGTGTGGTGGTGTGCGCCTGTAATCCCAGCTACTCCAGAGGCTGAGGCACATGCATCACTTGAACCCAGGAGATGGAGGTTGCAGTGAGCCAAGATCACACCACTGCACTCCAGCCTGGGCAACAGAGTGAGACTGTGTCTCAAAAAGGAAAAAAAAAAAAAAGAAAGAATTCATCTAAAAGTGTTTTATTATATTTCAAACACACATAACTATAAAGACTATAATGCATTCCCTATAAACCTAGACCCATTTCTTATCAAATCTTACCCTTTGCCACATTTTCTTCAGGTTTTTTCACATACATTTTAAAGATGTTTTTTAATGGTCACAGTATGGCTAACTCAAGAACTAAGGGAAGAAACCATTGGAAATTGGTTCCACTTTTAAGTTAAAAATCTAGACTATAAATTATTCTTAGCTTACTTCCTAATAATTTTAGTTTTCGCCGATATCATTGATAGATAATGTAAAATTTCTACCTTTACTTGGAGACACTAAACTCTTAGCAACATATTTGTAAGTCAGTATTAGGTTTTATCTTTTAGATGGAATTAAAGCAGTCCTTTCACCTAAGTTCCCTACCTATGTTCAAGAAAAATTTCTGAGTTTTTGTTATCTATAACTTATGATTGATGAAAATAATAGTACTTTTACTTCTGGCATTAAATTTATTTTTAAGTACTGAGTGCAAAACAAAGAAGTTGGAAAGTTTACAAAAATTTCAAACAAGGAAATCAGAACTGCTGTGACCACAAAGTCCCTTAGGGACAAGTTTTCATTGCTGTAGAATATAAGATTTATGTGAAGGTTATCAGAGGTTAATACACTTATGCTGGTCTCATTACTGATATTACAAAACTGCCTAACATGGTATATGAAGAACACAGAGTATATACTCAATAAATATTTGTGGGATCCATATATTGTCTGGATTATGCAAAAGAGCCAACCCAACTGCCTATTAAATTAATATAACTTGACTTTAACACACACAGAAGAAAACTAAATATTTTAAGTTAAGCAATTTACTAACGGCTCATTTCTGTTATATTTTGCTAGAATATTCCTAAACCCTCAAATAGTAGGATTACGTAACTAACAAGGCCTACTGATGCAGGGCATGTTACGATAGCTTTTTTATTCTGAATCTGATAAAGATACAAGAAAACAAAATTACACAGAAAAATTTATTCTTCCCCCCAGAAAACAACTTAGAGAACTTAGCAGCCACGTTCAAGCCTCTTAATCCTCTGAAGAAAGTAAAGCCTGAATAACAAGCTTCATAACTCAAGGATGTTCCAAAGCACTGTTACGGACTAACTCAATGAAACATTAACTTATTTTCAAGATCTTAACATCTGAATTCCAAAAGCCAAAGGAAGAAAGTGAATAAGAAGGGTTGAGAAAAGGAAAGTGTTTAACCTTCCATTTAAAAGAAAATTCAACCAGAAACTGTCTTTTCTCCAAGTAATCCTAGTTAATTGAGGTTTTATTGTACAGTAGTTCACATAACCCCAAAGAAATATTTCCAGGTCAAAATGCTTATAGCCCAGTCCCCAGTTGTCTATTAACCAACCCAGCTATGTAAATAGCTCCTGAAAGAATCGTATATTGTTAGGAACATAAAAAGTTCTCCTTTAACAGAGGGTAGCAGGAAGCTTAAGTCTTGTGACACACAAAAGCATGCAGTGTGGCACGGGAACTTCCCGTAAATTACATTAACTTTACAGCGATTTCTTTTGCTGATTCAAGAAAGAGAGCAAATACCAAAGAGCTGAAAGGTGACAAGAATATCCTGACACAGACTTGTTCAGGATAACAATCCACTTGAGCTCAGTTCCCAGTAACCATGGGGACTAGCATGATCCGTTGCTATCTATTTATCTTAGGCCTCAAGATACCCAAGTTCTGGTCCTTTCCATGAAATCAAGCAATTATTCTCGGAGATGAGAAGTTTGCCAATTATACAATAAAATCCTCCTCTAAATATTCTTTTTCAGAAATTGCACGCTCCTCCCATGTCCCTGCACAGCCTGAGGTGTGGTTTAATAAGCAATTTTGTTAAAAGCTTTCTTTTGGCAGTGAAATCACTAAGCTTTCTCTTCAAACTATTCTTTACCTGTAGAATGAGAGGGGATGCAGTCTCTATTCTGCTACAATTGCTAGGCGAAATGGAGATGCCGCTAGCACAGAACAATACCCTTCTTCAAGGAGAATCACTGGCTTTCACCTTCATGGAGTACTCCTCCCATATTTATGTTAAAACATTCGATTTTTTAAATGTATAATGTTGGAATGAAGGACACATTTTCAGTTTTCAAAGAACCATCAGATAAATTGTCAACACACACACACACAAAACCAGTTAGAGGTTGAAAACTATATCTATCTATCTATCTATGACAGGCAGAGAGTCTTACTCTGTCCCCCAGGCTGGAGTGCAGTGGCACAATCACGGCTCAACCTCCTGGGCTCAAGCGATCCTCCCACTTCAGCCTCCCGAGTAGCTGGGACCACAGGTGTGCACCACCAGGTTCAAGCGATTCTCCTGCCTCAGCCTTCCAAGTAGCTGGGACTACAGGTGCACACCACCATGCCTGGCTAATTTTTGTATTTTTAGTAGAGACGGGGTTTCATCATGTTGGCCAGGATGGTCTTGATCTCTTGACCTCGTGATCTGCCCGCCTTGGCCTCCCAAAGTGCTGGGATTACAGGCGTGAGCCACCGTGCCCGGCCATGCATGGCTAATTTTTAACATTATTTTGTAGACATCAGGTCTCACTGTGTTGCCCAGAATGATCTCAAACTTCTAAGCTCATGCAATCCTCCCACCTTGGACTCCCAAAGTGCTGGGAGCCACCATGCCCAGCCCCAGAATATTTTTAAATTACAGAATAATTTTAAAAGTTAAAAGTATAAAATAACAAGCATCAAATGCCATCTATTCTTCTACCACTGGTGAACAACCTTGAAAATGACCACGTCTCATATACAAGAGCTACTGTGAACACCCAAGAACATTGCTACACACAGCTTTTTCCCAAGACAGGAACCATTAATGCACCAGACACTCCCCAATCCCTAAGAGCATCTTTTATTCTTTCGCAAAGTTCATCTCTTCTGTATCACTGTTTACAGCCCAAATCCTAAAGCCATTGATAGCTCTCTTTTCATTTTATGTTTTAGAGACAGGGTCTCACTCTGTCACCCAGGCTGGAGTGCAGGGGCACCATCATGGCTCACTGTAATCTCAAACTCCTGGGTTCAAGTGATCCTCCCATCTCAGCCTCCTGAGTAGCTGGGACTACCCACCATGCTCGGCTAATTTTTTAAGTTTTTTATAGAGATGAGGTCTCATGCTGCCCAGGATGGTCTCAAACTCCTGGGCTCAACTGAATACTTCTGCCTCAGCCTCCTGTGTAGCTAGAACTTTGGGTAGGCACCACCACTTCCAGCTATTTTTTTTTTTTCAAGAGACACAGTCTTGCTGTATTGGCCAGGCTGCTCTCAAACTCATGGCCTCAAGTGATCCTCCTACCTCAGCCTCCCAAAGTGCTGGAATTACAGGCAAAGCTATTGCACTTGGCCCAATATCTCTCTTTTAAACTAGTCCTGTTCATTGAGAAAATGGCACCATAGACTTTTTAAATTATGTAAGCAAGAAAAAAGGTGCTGAGTCCCAAGACCTTGGACTGAGGCAAATATTTAAAGTAATTTTGTAAATGTTAGGTATCTGATGAAAAAACTGAGACATTCTGGAATTGCACACCAGTGACTCTGTTATAATTCAGCATGGGAGGGAGGAAAGGCCAAAAGAAACGATATGCAAAGGGATCAGGGCCATTACCGTTGGAAACTACTTCCTCAGGACCTTCCAGCAATAGCTTGATTCAACACCACTGACCAGTGTAGAGGGTCCATTAGCTGGTCCCATCTCAGCATACATTAAGCACTAATGACTAACATCTGCACCCTATACAAATACATCTTAAGAGTCTTGCTCAAGCAAACTGCATTCCTTAGACAAAAACAGGATCCTGGATCATAGGTTGTTTGGGTTTTTTTCCCCCTCTCCATGGAAACTGTGTGTGCATTTCTCTGGTTCTCAAGAGGTAACAAATGCTAGCTATTAGCTACAAATAAATAGCTTCAAGAGATGAGCAATTCATACAGTAGTCTAGAAACATGTGTAGTTGCAGTGCTGGCGCCTTGGCAGGCTCACTGCTAGTAAAGGAAAGCTGGAGAGCGTGGACACAGTAATGAGCTATTAAACACAAATAATGTCAACATGGAATCTTTTCCTGGGGCTTAGCATCAGGGAAGGAGGGCACAAAGGAGACAACATGAGAAGTCACTGTCATTTGCTGTTCAGATCCTGATGACATTTTTTTAAGGGCTCATACCTGGGAAGAGTTCCGAGTTTCCATCGCCAGGTCTAGAAAGTCTACCATGCATTGTTATGTGCCAAGTCCAGGGACAGAATCCAATTGTAGTTAGCTGAACTGGGTCAAAAACCTCTTGAATACACAAGGAAAAACTAGTAGATTTCTGTCACTTTATTTTTTTTTTTAATGTGTCTGTAATTCTGGTTATGGAAATAGTTGGTTCTAATTTTAACCAACACCTACTACTGTTTCAGCACATTCCTCTAGGTTCAAGGAAATGATGACTTTCCAGTCAGGGTCTACAGTGACACAGACATGAACTTGGAAATTTAAGCTTCCAATTTTCAGCCACTCCACCATGTTTCTGTTTGCGTGTGTGTTTTTTTAAAGAGTCAAAATACCATGAAAAACAATGTCCAGTCTTTATGGAATTCTTACAGCAATAAGACTATTCATAAGATTCATATTAATAGACACAAGTATTCAATACAGCTGATACACAAAAATTTTACATGGGAAGGGATTGGATTTATTTATTTATCTAGGTAAAATAAAATAGGTGCCTGCCCCCAGTGAGCCTGTAATCACAGAGAGATAAGCCTCTGACTCATGAAACAGAAGACCCCAGGAGAGACTGCCTACAAGAGGCCTAGGAAAAAAAAGTTGATCCTTTTTCTTAATTCACCAGTAACCTGTGTTTACTTGATGTTTTATAATTATGTCAAAGAGTAATACCGGGGACAGTATCAGGCAGTTACACCAGTAATTAGAAGGGTAGGTAGCAGCAGCAGCTAACATTTACAGAATGCCAGAAACTGTTTCAAAGGCTTGAAAGACCTCATTTGAGTCTCACTACTGCCCTATGAGATAGGTAGCAATGATTATTCCCATTTTGTAGATGGAGAAAATATGGTTTAGAGAAGTCTTTTAAAAACTAAGTCCTTCAGTTATTAAGTGGAAAAGCCAGAATTCAAATCCAAAAAGTTTGAGTCTAGAACCTTAAGCACACTGCCTCACACGCAAAACCCATCGCAGCCAGTCTTAAGAAACTGATCGTAAACTTCCATGGAAGCTGATGAGGATCCTAGAAGAGCAAGAATGAATCAAAAAGACTCAATGCATCCTATTATGAGTAATATACTAGTATGAGTCTTGCTGGCTAGTGGAAAAAAATGTGCTATTTCACATATGAATGGAAAGGAATCCATGCAGTATATGCAGCTGGTCTATATATCCAAAAGATAAATATTTACTGGCTAGGGGAGAAAGAAAATCCCCTCTTCTAAAAAAGATTCATGTGGTAGAAAAAAATACACAGTTCCAGTAGACTTAAGTATTTTTTAATTTAAGTACACATGCTAAGGCTTTGTATTTCTTCCTTGGAAAACTTGGTTTTCATTTAGGAATTTGAAACTTTTATAGCGACCTGTCATTGACTATTTACATAGTCATCTGGCAGAGAAAGGTAAGACTGCTGCCTCCTGGGTCCCTAACAAGGCTCTACTGTGCTGAGTGTGACTGAGGTCACCAGAGCAAATCCACTGGGCTCCTCTCCATGACGGAGGAAAGTTCACCACTATTTAAATCCATTTCCATAAAGTTGACTGAGGCAGTGTGATTTAAGAGGCAACTTTGAGTACTACCTAAATAGCTGGAGTCATAAAGGAAGGTAGTTATCCCCAGGCTAGCATTAAGGTTTTATTTATGCAACTAATTTTCCCGATCAGCCTTCCAAGAATGGCCCCAAAGTACGTTGAAAATAGGAGATAAATAACGCTGCAAACATGACACCAATTTCCTAGAAGATCTGACATTATCAGGTTGATCTGAACACTGGAGAGGACCTATCACGACAATCCTACACGTAAAACAAATTTCAACCTGAATTGCTTAGTTTCAATAATAAAGTTTACAAAAACGCTGTAGCTGTAGCTGTAGCTGTGGCTGTCAATTCTGACTACAAGTTAGACTCACCTGGGAGGCTTTAAAAAACTACCAGTGCCTGGGCTCCACCCCAAACAAATTAAATCAGAATCTTGGGGGAAAAGCCTGGGCAGCACTATTTTTTAAAGCTCCCCACGTGAGTCTCACGTGAAATACCAGGGTAGAAAAGTACTAAAAAGGCCAAAACGTTGTTTTTTGGCTGTTGAAAGTGCTATATCGAAGTCATAATCAAGTTAATTATTTGAATGAAAATGGATAATAATGAACGGGTGGGTCAAACTTCAATCAGTTAAGTGTATTTTAGGAAGACATCACACAAACTGGATAGTTTCAATTAAATGATCTATTTTGGCGAGTAAACTAGGTAAGCAGTAGATAAATGGAGGCGTCACTAGACATGTTTTATCTCAAACTCTTCTGCTTAGAAGAAATTTTTTAAAATGTAAAGCTGAACTTTTTGTTCAGTTAAGTGTTTACTTTCCTTTAGAGAGCCATAAAAGAGTCCATGCAATAAATTTAGTGAAACATGCGCAGAGGCAGAATGACTATGCACAAGCACATACATATGCTTCAAATCTGCAGACTAAGATGGGAGCCACTTGTGTATATATACAGACATATCTTGCAAAATCCAATGAATGTGTAGAGAGAGACTCTGAAATTATGCCTAACAGAGAGGCCAAAATTTTGTTCTTAGTGTACTCAAAAATGAGTCCTTGAAGAGGAAAACACCAGGCTTCATTTCACAGACCCTTTGAAGGTCTCACTGGAAAAATGAACAGTGCACTCAAGGCTGGTGATACATTTTTTACTGCATGCATCTGGTTTCCATGTATACTGTATTCTTGAAAATGCCTACTGCCAAGAATCCCAAGTTACTGCATAGCCCTTGGTAGATGGGCATTATCCCCAAAGTTTTTTTTGTTTTGTTTGTTTGTTTTGAGGCTGATTTTCACTTTTTTTTTTTTTTTTTTTTTTTTTTTTAGACAGAGTCTTGCTCTGTCGCCCAGGCTGGAGTGCAATGACATGATCTCGGCTCCCTGCAACCTCCGCCTCCCAGGTTCAAGCAATTCTCCTGTCTCAGCCTCCCAAGTATCTAGGATTACAGGCACCTGCCACTCCGCCCTGCTAGTTTTTGTAGTTTTAGTAGAGACGGGGTTTCATTCCATCATGTCGGCCAGGCTGGTTCTGGACTCCGACCGCAGGTGATCCATCCGCCTCGGCCTCCCAAAGTGCTGGGATTACAGGCGTGAGCCACTGCGCTTGGCCCAGAGTTATTTTTAATTTAGAAATTACCTAACCTATCTTAAGTGTAACTTCTGGTTCTGCTAATTCAGACAAAAAAATGCAAGATTATTATTAGATTTGTGAGTTGTAGTGGTCAAATTAGATCTGATAGACCAACAGGTAGTTGCTGTGTGATGTATCCTAGAGATCTTCAGCCTGCCTGCTAAGGCTAAGAATCAGGTCTGCTACACCACCTACGTCATTCTGGTGTCCAGGCTGAAGAGGTAGCAGGTAGCTGGGGCATAGTTTCTCATGATACTCACATTAGCACAAAATCCCAATTACATTTAAGGCATCCCATTTAAGTATATGCTTGCATCACATTCATTTATGTTCTTCCGCCGAACGAGTTATAGGCCAAGGCCAATACCTGTAAAGCAGGACATACACTCCCATGCAACGTAAGTCACATGGCCAAAAAACCCCATCTCTACCAAAAAAAAAGACAAAAAATTAACCAGGTGCGGTGGCACGTGCCTGTAGTGCCAGCTACTCGGGAGGCTGAGGCAAGAGAATCGCTTGAACCCTGGAGGCGGAGGTTGCAGTGAGCCGAGATCGCGACACTGCACTCCAGCCTGGATGACAGAGTAAAAAAAAAAAAAAAAAAAAAAACAACCCACAACATCCATGAATCCATCAATCTCCCAGTTATATATATTTTAAAGCCAATGTACTTAAGCTTTTTCTTTCCAAGTAATTATTTTTTACATCATGTAGATAATTTAGAATGTAAAAACATCAAAGTCGAGGTGCTAATGCAAAATTGATATCATACAGACTTAGAAATAAAGATGACATACTCAAACTATAGAAGGAGCCAAAAAGTGGTTCTGGTGATGAAGTAATGTTGAAGCACATGTAGGATTTAAATAAAACTGCTTCACTTGGCCGGAAGCAGTGGCTCACTCCTGTAATCCCAGAACTTTAGGAGGCCAACGCAGGAGGATGACTTGAGCCCAGGAATTCAGGACCAGCCTAGGCAACATGGTGATACCTCATCCCTCCTAAAAACTTGTTTTTAATTAGCCAGGTGTGGTGGTGCATGCCTGTAGTTCCAGTTACTCAGGAAGCTGAGGCAGGAGGATTGGCTGAGGCAGGAGGATTGGTTGAGCCCAGGAGTTCGAGGCTGCAGTGAGCCATGATCACATCAGTGAACTCGAGCCTGGGCAACAGAGTGAGACACCGTCTCAAAACAAAACAAACCAACAACAACAAAAAAAAACTGTTTCTTGAAAACTTGGAGTGGGAAAATGAAGGTTTTCTAAAATTTATCTCATATTTTATATGTGTAACTAAATATTAACATACTTTCAATTATTTCACCTATATCCCAAGAAGTTTATACATTCAGAACTTATTTGTTATTCTTCTTGAGAATGTGGGACATCACCTCATTTGAGAGTTGCCTTATAATCAAGCATATACTGTAGTTTTAATATACTTATTTGAAATTCACCAGGTCACAAAGTTTCATCTTTATTCTACTTAATTTCATCCATATAAGCTTTTTAGTAAAACTCATCTTTGTCTTTATAATACTTTTAAATACTTTTTTCAGTGAATTTATACTCACTGAACCTTCCTGAAATTTAGCTCTCATCCTACATTAGTCTTTATATTATGAACATTTTCTACACCACTCAACATTAAACACAAATGATTTTCAATGTATAGAACTGCTTCCTACTAAAATAAAAACACAATCAGATCACCACCATAATACCTGAATGGTGTTTTGCAATTTTGTTATTTGGTACACTTTGCCTTTTTGTAACAATAACTAAAAAAATTTTCAGGCCGGGCACAGTAGCTCACACCTATAATCCCAGCACTTTGGGAGGCCAAGGCCAGCAGATCACGAGGTCAGGAGTTTGAGACCAGCCTGACCAACATGGTAAAACCCCGTCTCTACTAAAAATACAAAAATTAGCTGGGCACGTTGGCGCGTGCCTGTAATCCCAGCTACTTAGGAGGCTGACGCAGGAGAATCACTTGAACCCGGGAGTGAGCCAAGATCATGCCACTGTACTCCAGCCTGGGCGACACAGTAAGACTCTGTCTCAAAAAAAAAAAAAAAAAATATATATATATATATATATATGTATATATGTATACGTATATTAAGTATATACATTTTAGTCAGAATTTTTCAAACAATGTAACCAAAGTTCTCAAAGTCCCCTGGAGGCCCCAGGGAGCCCAGGAACAAGGCAGTGTTTGGCTTTTAACTATTTTATATACTGTGGTTCTGTGTAACTTTTAATTTGGGTAACAAAGATTCTGCTATTTAAAAAAAAATTTAACCACCACTTGTGAATGATCAATAATAGTGTTTAGATGAGTTTTAAAAAGGCTCTCGGTGCCAGAAGCTTGGTTTAGCAGGCTGTGCTGACTCATTAAAATCTACATGTAGTATGAAGCAACGCTGGGGCATTAAATTTAGCAGCTGCTATGTTCATGTGTCTATAGTTTGTGTGTATATATATACACCACGTATTACCTAATTTAACCAAAGACACCTTTACTGGAACCATGTCAGACCATAATTATAAAGAATCCAAACCACTTTTCTATCGTTATTGTCCAACCTATACTCAATGTCCATCTCCCGCTTCCCTCCACTGTTTTGTTTTGTTCTAATTTGCCAGTGTAAAATTATATAAGAACCTCACCTATTTGTATTGGCTAGGACCTGAGAAGCTGCAAATAGACCAAAAACCCAAACAACAAATCAACGGACAGCCTGCTTGAGGCTCCTGTCTTGTTTGCTCCTTACTCTGAGACACCAATTTGTCATCATCCAGGATCTACAGCAATCAGAGCTGACAGGAAATCAAGGAAGAAGAAACAAGTTTGGGATGGGGGTAAAACAGCACCAAAATCTAGACACTGTGGGGTTTTTTGGAAGATTTTTCAAAAGTCATTTATTTCCAACATCCTCATTTTATAGATGAAGAATCTGAGCACCTGAGACTTCCCCAGTTTGTAGGAGTATTCCTTTACTAATGAAATTAACTAATAAAAACTCTAGCTCCAAAAGTGAAGGCTAATGATGAGTAAGCTCGTCTCTAAATAAGTTTTTATAGATTTCAGCAGCTAGCTGTCTGCTGTGGCTTACTGCACTATAATTCTTGGTAATCCTCATGGAAACTAACTTTTTGCTTAATTGTGCTAGATCTCTATGGTAAGCTTTCCAAATAGGGAGGTTCCAAGCTACTTGCCCTATCTTTTCAGTAAAGTTAAGATTCCCATACTTTTTGTTTATTTCTAACCAAGGGCATTTTCATGCATTGAAAACCAAGTGCTTATAATCCTGCTTTGAAGCTTGAGACGATAAATAAGATCTTACACAAATGATCATTCTAACTTCCCAGATAGGAATTTCTGCCCCCAAATGAATCAGAAAATGGACTCAACCTCACAGCTTAGAACTCTTCCTATGAGCTATTTCTCAGATTTGAGAACTGCACATCTGAGAAATTAATATAATATAATCTGAGAATTAGTATAATAATTATTAATATTTTTTAAACCCTAGAAACAATACCAAGTTTACACAAGGTGTTCCGCCCACTATGGGGGGTTCTCATGAGGACTGCCAAACTATCTCTCATCTACAATTTTTTCTTTTTTTTTTTTAAGACAGGGTCTCCTTCTGTCATCCAGGCTGGAGTGTAATGGTATAATCACTGCTCACTGCAGCCTCAACCTCCAGGGTTCAAATGATCCTCCCAGGCTCAACTGATCTTCCCCCTTCAGCCTCCTGACTAGCTGGGACAACAGGCAAGCGTCACCATGCCCGACTAATTTTTTCATTTTTTAAATAGAGACAGGGTCTCGCTATGAAGCCTAGACTGGTCTCACACTCTTGGGCTCAAGAGATCCTCCTACCTTGGCCTCCCAAAATGCTGGGATTACAGGAGTGAGCCACTATGCCCAGCCTTCTACAAAATGTTGGTACTACTAGCTTTTCCTTTACTGAACAATAAATAGAAACCAAACATAAATGGTTAAAGCATATAATCAAATAGTAAACATAGCTGGTGCTTTAAGTAATACAAATATATCATCAAATGGTAAACAGAGCTGGTGTTTTAAAGCCATTCCTAGAATAGTGCAATCTTGGTGCATTTTGATGCCAACCAGACTCTCTGAAAGGAAGCCACACTGCTGACATCATCCAAGGCTCCTCAGGATACCATCTGAGACAGGAATTTTGAAATGAATAGTCATTGTATTCATAAAAGAGGAGAAGGTGAAGTGCATCAAGGGGCACCCTCACCCTAAAACCATACCACCCTACTCAGGGATACCTGGACTCACTAGAAACATAATTGCTCAAAGTGCTAAATCTATGATGGAGCAGAATTTTCCTATTTTTAAACTGACAATCATTGTGTCTATTTATGGGGTACAATGTCATTTTAGATCTATGTATACACTGTAGAAAGATTAAATAAGGCAAATTAACAAATTCATCACCTCACCAACTTGCCTTTTTTTTGTAGTAAGAATGTTAAAAATCTATTCTTGGCCAGGCGCGGTGGCTCATGCCTGTAACCCCAGCACTTTGGGAGGCTGAGGCAGGAAGATCACTTGAGGTCAGGTGTTCAACACCAGCCTGGCCAACATGGCAAAACCCCATCTCTACTAAATTAAAAATAAAAAAAGTAGCCAGTGTGGTGGTGTGCACCTGCAATCCCAGCGACTCGGGAAGCTGAGACAGGAGAATGGCGGGAACCTGGGAGGTGGAGGTTGCAGTGAGCCGAGATCACACTACCGTACTCCAGCCTGGATGACAGAGCAAGACTCTGTCTCAAACAAAACAAAACAAAACAAAAAACAAAATGAAACCAAAAAAAACTATTCTTTTAGCAATTTTGAAATATACAATACATTACTATTAACCGTGATGAGTCCCATATTCTGTGTCAAGAACTTGGTCTAAGAGGTTGGACATCTATCTCCATCCTCTCCATATTCACATCTAAATATCAAAAAGGGAAATAAAACTAACAGCTTTCAGTCATCCACAGGCAAACTAACTTCCAGAATTTAATGAACTGCTACAAAGCATGTTAGCTATATTTTTATGGGTCCAAAGATAAACTAGATACAGATCCTATTCTCAGAAATTTTCCAGTATTCTATCACCATTCATTTTTATATTTGAATAGCAGTTACCAGTTTCCAATAATGGTTTTACACATACTTCACTTATTTTTTGCATAATTCTTCAAGGTGAGTTCTGTACCCACATTTTCCTCCTTTATAGATAAGCAAACAGGTTTTGGAAGACGAAATGACTTGCCCACAGTCACTTAGACCTTGGAGAGCAAGCTATAGGGGTGCAACTGAAGTTTTTATTCCAGTCACTATGTTGTATAGCCTCCAAAAAGACAAAAACCTTGCAATCAACTTAGTGATAAAAATAAGACAACATTATGCCTTTAAACGGCTCTGTGACTCTGTTCTCCTCTGCTTCCCAGACATCAGATAAAGAATTGTTAAATAAAAGCTCCATGGCTCCATAGGTCCATTCAGACCCAACTAATGCCTATCAATCATTGGCAACTAAGCACAGTCTAAACAGGTACGTGAAATAAGTGCTGACTGCATCTGTTTTTTGTTTTTTGTTTTTTTTTTAGACAGAGTCTTGCTCCATCACCCAGGCTGGAGTGCAGTGGTACAATCTCAGCTCACTGCAAACTCTACCTCCTGGGTTCAAGCAATTCTCATGCCTCAGCCTCCCAAGTAGCTGGGACTACAGGCGTGCGCCACCACGCCTGGCTAATTTTTTGTATTTTTAGTAGAGATGAGGTTTCACTGTGTTGGCCAGGCTGGTCTTGAATTCCTGACTTCAGGTGATCTACATGCCTCAGCCTCCCAAAATGCTGGGATTACAGGCGTGAGCCACTGCACCCAGCTCTGACTGCATCTTAATTATATAAAGTAAGTGAAGCTCATTTTCCATTTAATTAAAAAGCTTTACATTTAGAGGTAAAATTTCTCTTCAGCCAATACTCAAAAGGCAACTGTAAATCACAGAGCTAGTGGCTTTCCTGATGTCAGTGTCACAGGAACAGGATGAGCAGGTAACACTGGGTAAGCAAGTGAGATGGGACAAGAAAAAGTTTGGTTTTAAGTAAATTTGGGCCAGGTGCAGTGGCTCATGCCCTTAATCTCAGCATCTTGGGAGGCTGAGGCGGGCAGATCACTTGAGGCCAGGAGTTTGAGACCAGCCTGGCCAATATAGCAAAACGCTATCTCTACTAAAAATACAAAAAAATTAGCTGGGTGTGGTGTTGCACTCTTGTAATCCTAGCTACTCAGGTGGCTGAGGCAGGAAAATTGTTTGAACCTGGGACGTGGAGGTTGCAGTGAGCCAAGATTGCGTCACTGCACTCCAGCCTGGGCGACAGAGCGAGACTCTAAGTAAGTAAATAAATAAATTTGACTTACGATTAAACAAACTCCAAGGGGCAGAAAATTCCAAATGTGATAAACTACACAAATACTCCATGGTCCAAGATATTCATTGTACATATTTCTTATGCTAAGACTGTCCTAACAGAAGGGTATTGTCAATATTTTCTATGAAGACTTTTCAATACTGGGTCTGCATATGCAATATGAAATAAAGAGTGAAGGCAACTATTCAGATCATTTGAATCAATATGAAATCTTGGGCCTTGATTTTTTGGACAGTATATGCAAAAGGAACTTTTGACTAATATCAGCCCCATGATTTTCTCAATTATCTCAATCACCATGTGAGTATTACTTGTGTATTAGACCATCTCAGTACACTAAAAATAAGTGGACCATGAAAAACAGAGATCTATATTCCCTGGAAAGAGTGAACAGAATAATTCTGTTATTATTAATAAAAATCTACTCCAACCTCTTTTTGTTTGTCTCTCCCACAACACTAGGATCATGACTCAGAACAAACATATAAAAGCCAGGTACAGTAACTCATGCGTGTAATCCCAGCAACTTGGGAGGCTGGGGTGGGAGAATGGCTTGAGCCCAGGAGTTGGAGGCTGCAGTGAACAATGGCACCACTGCACTCCAGCCTGGCAGACAGAGTGAGACCCCAACTCTTAAAAAGATATGTATCATACATATACAAATGTGCAAGTATTGAAAAAAAGATTGCCTTTCTTTGATGAAATGCACAAATACTTTTTATTCTATTACTGTATTTCTTTTCCATATAGAATGATCTCAAGGTCACAACCTAATAAACAGATTCCAAAACCCAATCTTGGCCCACAGCTTGAAAACAACACTTTACTGTGTATCACTGTAATTCAAGGTGGACCTCTCACTTACTAAAAGGAACCTATATTTCAGGGTTTACCATGTGCCATCACAGTGCCCAAAGGAAGAACTTGTATTCACGAGTTCCTTAAACTTCTATTTTTAAAACACTCTGTGCACATTATTTCTCTTAATCTTCACAATACCCTTAAGACAGATTATCATCATTTGCACCACTTTACAGACAGGAAACTTAGGCTCAAAAAGGTCAAGTTACTTGCCCAAGGTCACACAGTGGCAGAGGGCTGGAATGAGCAGGAAAACTATGTGATTGCAAATGAGACCCTGGAATTGGCCTGATGACAACACAGGTCCACCAGTCCCTTATCTGAATTGCCTGGAGCCTGATGTCTTTTGCAATTCACAATTCTTTGGGAATTTGGAAAGGTAATAAAGATAATGCATACGCCTTGTACTCCTTAAGGCAGCCATATCTGGGGCAGTATCCCATAGTCAAAGCATTAGGATGTTTGTACTCAAACACAACTGGGATAAAGACTGTAAGTAGCTTCCCTTTAGCTGAGGTCAGGTTGGCTGCCAGGTGAGCTCAGGTCTGGCCAGGCTTTGTAAATAAAATGAGTTCTTTTAAAAGAAAAAAATCTTTTTTGAAGCTTTTCAATCAAAAATATTAACATAGGGTTGTGGACCTGCACAAAAAAGCACAAACTGAGACATAAGTGACCAGGATAATTTCGTACACACTAATTGGATATCTAAAACCTGTTGATCTTTTATTAATGGTAATTAGAAGGTACTACCTCAAGGTACTTAAAGACCCTTCAGGACACTGCTGGGAGGTTTCTATTTCAATAAAGGATAATTATGATATGCTTGGTTCATCAAGCCTGTGCTATTATAATGTAGAAAGACTATATTAATCGAAGCAATGAAATCACTCTGTTTGATTATAGTATCACAATAAGAACACTTCTGTTATGCCATCATTTTGCATTTGAAAGAAAGCTCCTTATGGCTAGTGCACAATCCAGTCTCAGATTAGAGCAGATGTGATCAGCTGTTAGTGTTGGGTTATTGCTGGAATGAGGAGCTTTAAAAAATACTGCTACCGGAGTCGCACTACTGAAACTGTGATCCAGGCAGTACAGGGTATAGCCTGGAATTTGAAATTTTCAAAAGCTTTCATTATGCTTCTACACCTGAGAAACACTGGGTTAAAAAAACACACCAAGGTGGACTTCCGTTTCCAAAGAAAAGTCTTGGCAGTGTTATTAGCAAACATCACCATTTCCCAAACATCACCATCATCCAGAACCTCAAACGAACTCGTAACAGGCCTCCAAGCCATCTAGTATATGAAGAGGTTCCTATTTATAAAGTTCAGGGAGTGTGAGAAGCCAAGGTTAAAAGTTTCTAAATGTAACCACAAGGAAACAAATGTTGGCTCCAGTTCTGGAGTGGGGCTGCTACAGAACCAGGCGCCGGACGCCCACCCCCACGTGGACTATACTGAGAGCTCATTCTTTTGCTTATTTTTGGTCCCTTGCTTTTTTAAGGCACCCTGCAGTCAAGTGCTAGGTACAGGAAACTAAAAGAGCTTTCTGGTAAATAATTTGGCTTTCTTTGTCAAGAATAAATACATCTTACTTGCTCAATCTAAACAGCCTCACTCCTCAGAGGATCAAAATGAAGGGCTGAACAGCCTCACTTTGTTTTGTAAAAAACTGATTTGTAACTGCATTTTCCAAAAGACAAAACGTGGTCCCAAATTACCTAGGAGTTAAACTAATATTCCTTGGCTGTTCAAACGGTACAAAGAGCAAAATGTAAGGGCACCTCAGATAAGACTAAGCAAACGACAGCGTACGGGACTTTTCTGCTTTTTTTTTTTTTCTTTAAATCACACAGCTTTGAAAATTAGATCTTCCAAACAACCTAAAATTACATTCCTTGCCTCTTTAGACATGAAAGGGAGGTCTCTTATGTGAAGCCAAACATTCTGTAACACTTCCACAGAACAGGGCTTGGTCATACTAACAGAAATGAACAGCAATGACAGTTAGCTGGTGGTAGGAGGCCAATTCTTTTTTAAAAAACTAAATTAATAGCCTTTATTAAAAGAACACACAACTACAAAGTTCCTGCTCTGCTCCCACTTTCAAATGAGAACCATATTTAATCCCTTAGCCACAGTACCTTTGACTAGATGTTAAATTGGCTAACTGAGCTCTTAGGTCTCTCATTCATGTAATAACCAGAACATACGATTCACTCCTTCCTGGAACTGCATATCACCATGACAATCTCTGTGATTCCATAATACAATTCAAATCCGGCATATGATCCAAAATTAAGCCTACAAGTGGATCTAGAAGTGGCAATATGAGAAGGCTATATTGTCAATCTTTATTGATGCGACTATGTACTAATTATGGCCATAAGAGGAAAATGGGTTGATTAAGCGTATTTTTTCTCATAGGGTATAATATCTAATGTCATTTTGTAATCTAGAAGAAATAAATTTTCAATATCTTTCTATAGATGAGCTTTTCATCTTTATCAGCTTCTTCTCTACTTTCCCACGTCCTAGTTGTCAGCCACGGTTGACAAATCGTAGACAGCAATCTTCCAAATACTTTCATCTAAATCTTCAAGTGATATTCTCAGAAGACAACCAATAATAATGGTTAATATTTATTGAGCAATTACTAGAGAACAGGCCCTGTGCTAAGGGACATACACATCACCTGAGATTACGGGACTTGCTCAGCTCACAAAATGATTGAAAAGGCAGAAATGGAACCAGAACCCAGGTCTTCCCACTTCCTGTGTATGCCGTAAACATTGCATTATTCAGCCTCAAATATCACCCACCTCTAAAATAGCCACCTTTGTCCTTTATTAGGGAGGGGAGAGGCTATCTTTTAAGCTAAGTTATTCAAATCTATTTGAAATTTTAAAAGAAATAACACAGACACAAAGCAGGGAGGGTATGGTCAGGAAAGGGGAAACCAACAAACACTTAAAGGAGACATTCATTTTTAAAAAGGTTTCCTAGGAATAAATTACCCTCATTAATAAATGCAGTGTTTCAGTTTCATGTACTATTTCAAATCCAATGGTAGTTAACTACTCTAAAATGCAGTATACAGCCAAATACGGCACACCATAGAATTACTGTGTTTCTCTATGACGGCATAATGCTTCTTCAGACTAGCCTTAGGATGCACATACTGCTCCCATTTTACAAGGTGGGAAAACTAAAGGACGGAGACATTATTTTCTTTTTAAAAAAATTATAACCAGAAAACATAGCAGAAGAAAAAGATCAGAACATGTATTTCCTTACTCTTAATTGCATGCTCAATTAAGCAAAGAATTTTCAATTGATGACCTCTCCAAGCGGAGCATAAGGACACAGGAGGTTCAGCATTTCCACCCCAATTTGACAACCACTGGACAGGCCACGCAAGGGGGAGCAGAAGTCCTGAGAGTGAATAGGAAGGCTCAGGCAACATGCAGAATAACAAAGAAATGGCATGAGTCAGAAGACGGGTGCAGCTGTGGGTGCAAACAAACATTTAGGGAGCATGTGGGAAAAGGGATACTAGCCAAGGAGGCTAGAGAAAAGTAGTCAGAAGTAGGTGGATAATGAGAGGTGTTGACAATAGCTGTGTCACTTCTCAAGGCATGGGGTGTCCCAAGGCAATGCAGAGACTTAATTCTGATTCCAGAGGCACTGACTTCCTCCTCGGTGTTACACATGATATCAGGAAGAGCTGAAATGACACGTATGCAAAGGTTCTCAGATGACAAGGGAAGTGGTGAGCAGCAGACAAGAAGGCAAAAGAAGCCAGGAGGAGGCCTGTCCTGGAGGGCTTCATATGCTTAATTGCAAAATCCACCCAAAAGGAAGAAAAACGAATCAACAGCGTCAGTGTATTCCAGCTCATGGCAGAAACAGGAAACTCAATCTGAACAAGAGTAATTGGCTCATGTTAATTTTCTCCACTTTCATTTTATCACGTTGTGAGTCAAAGAGGTAATTTACAGAAAGGGCTATAAAGCATTGTGTATGTTATGTGGAGTCTATTATGCATCATTATTACTTCATTTATATCCTAAAGTACCAATTTCAACAAAGTAATCAGGTTCCATTATCTCTCCCCATTGAATGAGTTCTCTAGCCAGCTCCCACCCTCAAATCACCTATTCAATAATTATCTTTTGAGCACTTGCTTCAGTAAGGTATTGTTGTACAGGGGAGTATTCACATCTATGCTCTAAAACAGCATTGTCTAAAAGAATTAAAATGAGAAGCACATATGGAATTAAATTTTCTAGTAGCTACATTAAAAAGTAAAAAGAAGAAACTGATTTCAATAATGTTTTGGATATACTGGCTTAAATAAGGTATATCATTTCAATATGTAACCAACATAAAATTATTAATGAAGTAGGGGAAAAAATGCAAAATAAGCTTTTGAAATCTTGTGTATTTTTACTTACAGCACATTGTAATTCACATGCTAAATTTTCAGCAGATACACTTATGTTTAGATTTCATAAAATATACAAATGAAAAAAAAACAGGTTCACATACCCAAGTTGTTCCAAATACAGAAAAAGTTTTCCAGTAACTGAAGTGTTTTTAAATGTAAATTAATTGAACTGAAATAAACTTAAACTGTTTGCTCCTAGGTTACACTAGCCACATTTCAAGTGCTCCACAACCTCAAAGGCTGGTGGTTCCTGTATCGGACGGCACAGCCCTAGATCTATACACACTCACTTTTGAGGAAACAAGAGAGAAATCTCATTATGTATCAGGGGAATTAGTTTCTTAATCAAAGGCCTCAAGGGCTGTAATAAAGTCAGAATTCTTCAGAATCCCTCAAATAAAGGTATCAGTGCTACACTGAAGCCATGACTACTCTATGCTTTGTCATTCAGGGGCTAAACCAATTCCTGGTTCAATCATTTGCCTTAGCAACTTAGGAGCAGTGATTTAGAAATGGGTAAGAGCCTGAGCTCTGGAGGCCAACTGCCCAGCTTGAAAATCCAGATCTTCTGATCACTTGCAAGTAGCTTAACAACTCCATGCTTCAGGTCCTCCTAAAATGGGGTGATGATGACAACAGTACCTACCTAACCAAGTTATTTTGACAATTAAATGAGCTAAAACACACATAGCTTAGCACAGTGCCTGGCAGATTAAGAACTCAATAAACAAATGTTGTTGCTTGCATCAACAGTTGACCAGGCCTGCTCTCGGAAGAAAGAAGCACTCCATGGCAAAACCTATTGTGTGCACACATGCATATGCTGTGTACATACTGATAAAGTCCACAGCGAGCTCACTATGAAGATGGCAATCAGAATTAACCCTATATCATTTACATCCTCCACAAACAAAATAATACAAGCACAGACAGTTCCTTAAACAGCATATACTATCCAAACGAGTGCACGGCATCAAAAGATGCAGCGTAACTACACAGGATGAGCTGCTGGTAAAGTCAGCAGCATTCACAGGGGAAAAGCTCTGTCAGCCTTCGATTTGTAGGAAACAGGGGCCGAGGGAAGAAGCAGGAGGCAGGAGAGTGGGGTGAAGTACCCGTTAACAAACGGGACAAGCAAGATTCCTAGTGTAAGCACATACGGTATTTATTAAGTTTGAGGAGTCTGGTTACATCTATTTTGAGATTTGTGTGTTTCATTTCAGTTTGCCAAAGGAATGACAATCCAACAAGAATTACTGAACAGGTTCAGCACGTAGAGGAATATGTTGGCACTTCCAAGAAAAAAGAATAAGGTGCTGGGGTAGATGGTAAACAAGCAAGATCCAGCTCTTGTCAGAAAAAAAAGAGCCAAATGACCAGCAAGAAAGGAGAAGTGAGATTCTGCCCAGGAAACGGGGCTTACTCAAGAGTTAAGGTAAGGCAGTGTCAGAAACACAGTGAAGCAAGCCAAGAACACTAAGGCTTGCCTCATTGTAGGAGTAGCTGTACCTCACTCAGCCCTCTGGCTATAAGTGAAGCTTCCCAGACTGGAGGAGGCAGGAAGAAGGAAGAATATTTCACAGCCTCAAATCTTCAGGGACAAAATCGGTGCAGGCTTATTAGGAAGAGAAGCGGCAAGCCTTAGAACACCAACCAAAAATCCATAGAAAGACATGATTTTATTGCTGGCATCCCACTCACAGCACTTCACGGGGACTGCAGAGGCTGCCATGTTTCTTTGGATCTAGTTGAGAGAGGAAGACAACTCACTTGATAAAGTACAAGGAGAGCTAAGTTCAGAAATGCCATATTTAAAGGGCAGTATATGCCACCGTCTTCTCCCCCTGCTCCTTAATACTAAGGAAAGCCTGAGGGATCTTATGAAGGAAGACAAAGGAAGTCCAGTGTTAATAGGATGGTCTTTTGCCATTTTTGTTTCATGAGATGACTTCAGCTCAACTCTCCTTCAAACCCAATTACTAGCCAGGCTCTGATTTTGACTACTCAAATCCAAAGTGGCCCACATTATATCCACCAACAATTAGATATACTACAATGATGACTGGGGATAAGGGGGCTATAAGTGGTTAAGGAGGAAGAAGAGAATTCCAGATACTTCTTTGAAGTTAGCTCAGTTTAAGAAAACTTTAAAGAGAAACAAATAAAGACAGAAAAGAAAGAAATTTTACTAGTAGTGGAAAACATTTTCTTCAAAGATAAGGTGGTTTACAAAACGCCAATGAGTCACCCAGAGGCCAGTGCAGCCCAGACCCATCAGGGGCATGTCCTCCCCCGCAGCGGGCAGGAGGGCACACGTGGTGTCCGGATGGAGGCGCCAAGTGACAGGGTTCAGACAGTCCTCACACTATAAAGTGCTGCATGGTTTACCACACCTGCTATATGCTCTCTTGAGTCTCCTAACCAGTCTCCTTATTTGCCTGTTAGGAAACCATGGCTCAGAAAGATCAAGATCATCTTATTAGTTAAGGTAAAATCAAGATTAGACCTCAAATTTCCCAAATCCTAGTCCAGTGCTTCTTCCCACAACATTAAGTTGCTTCCTGAAAATAACCAACCATAATTCTCCACTTAGCAACCTTTCTAGCAACTTTCTGGTCCTGGTCATAAACTCTCACCTCCACCATAAACTGATGCTTTTATCAGGGATATTCTATCACATCTCCATGTTCCCAAAACAGAAAGGAAGTTTTAGGGAACCCCTTTCCTTTGCTCTAGGCGCAAGCCCACAGGTGCCCTCGAGGCAAAGTGCTAAGATAAGTGTGTTGACATCATTTTCCCATGGAAGAAACCTGATCTCTCCAAAGAAAAGCCGAGTACTTCCAGTGGACAATTCTGAGCCTTCTGTTCCCCTACTTATGCCAACTGCTTAGCTTGAGCCAGATGGGGGGTGGGGATATATCCACTAACAAAATCTGGAATAATTACTGGGGTTTAAGTGCAATGTATCCTTAAAGAAACAGAAGCAAAAGCAATTAAACTATAGCACTGTACCTGGACTCACATCCAAAAGCCTCATTCAAGATACTAAAGGAGCCATTTCTCCCCTTCCCTCCATGGATTCCTTCCCTGTGCCTTTGTCCCACTTTAACCACTTTGCCCAAATAGCCCACTGACCAGGAACATCCCAGCCAAGTATTTCCAAATCTGGCTTGGTCAGCCTTCCTGCTCTCGGGCTCCTTTGAACCTCCTGCCTGCAACACACAAAATAGCACTGAATTGAGGTCTGACATGGCTCTTGTGGAGCACTCACCAACACACCAGGCTGCTTCACACCTCAGTGCCTTCGCACAGGGTGTTCTTGCCTGCACGAATGCCCTGTCCCACTAGTCAGAGGGGAGTCTTTTCAGAACTCTGCTCAACTCCCCTTCTCTATGAAGCCTCTCCGACTTTGCTGGTAGTTCACTACTTGCGCAGGGCTATGAGATCGCACTTGTTTCTTGTTGATGCTGCCATGGTAGTACTGATCCCACTGTATTACAAGTCATGGCTGAGTTCCCTGCTAAGCTGTAAGCCAAGAAGTTAGCATTCATGGCTCTTTTTAAACCTTTGTACATCTCGTGCCTAGCAGAGGGAAGCTAGATGGATGTCTAGCAATCAGGTCATCTCCCCTTCTCAATAAGATTCCTGAGGACAGAGATTAGGGCAATTTTTTGGTATCCCCCACAGAACCCTCCACTTCGCTAAGCACAAATGTCAAAGGCATCAACAGCAACAACATGCACACAGTAGCTTATTTCTCTGAGAAATAGGACAAGCATTCCCAGGGAGGCTCTGAGGAAAATGCTTTCAACTTTACCCAACTAGAGGATTTAGCGTCTGAGCCTCCTCCTCACACGCTGATCTGTTTCCACTTCATTTGTGCTAACTCATTTTACACTCAATCTAGTCTACACTGAGATCCAAGGTTATCCTCTGGGGCAAGGACAGTGAAATGGAAATTACAAAAGCTCATCAACAGACAAATGCTGGGAGAAAACATCTTGAACGTGTACTCTGCTCCCTTCTCCCCCAAACAATTTCACTGGAGTGGACAAATTTCAGTCCATCAGGGGGGTACATTCCTGAGGAGCTAGAGAGAGACCTTGGGAATTATCACACCCTGAAGAGTGGAAGCCAAACAAGAAATTTCTGCACTAAGCTTTTAGAAAAATAAGGCTAAAAAGAGAACATGTTTAAAGCCAGCCAAAGGAGTTAAGAATAACAAACAAACCCACCATTCTATTTGTTGGCACCCACAGAAAAGCAGAGGAGGAAGATACATTTGAAAATTAACCATCAGTGGCTGAGTGCGGGGGCTCACACCTGTAATCCCAGCACTTTGGGAGGCCAAGGTCGGCGGATCACCTGAGGTCAGGAGTTCAAGACCAGATTGGTCAACGTGGTGAAACCCTGTCTCTACTAAAAATACCAAAAAAAATAAAAAATTAGCCAGGCATCGTTGCATATGCCTGTAAACCCAGCTACTCAGGAGACTGAGGCAGGAGAATCGCTTGAACCTGCGAGTCAGAGGTTGCAGTGAGCCAAGACTGCACCATTGCACTCCAGCTTGGGTGATAGAGCGAGACTCCATCTCAAAACACACACATACACACACACAAAGGAAGAAAGAAAATTAACCATCAAACAAAGCAGATACCTGTTCTAGGTTTGAAGTGTTTTTCTCCAAATGGGAAAAGCCAGGGAGAAAAAAAAACAACATTCAATTCATTATAAACTAACTCATTTCAAATTAAATCCTGGCTGAGTAGTACCGGGAGCTCTAGGATACCTATTAGAAAAACTAGGGGAGAGGGAAAGGGGATGGTCTGAAAGCTACCTTTGCATGGCAAGCTCACTGCTCCTAAATTTGAGACACATGAGTAGCAATATTTTCTGAAGATGCTTTTATTTTATCTAAGACTGAGGAAATATCCACCATCTATTACAAGTCTAAGAGGGGAACTTCAAAGTCACTAGTGAAATCTTGCCACCCCTTGGTACCAGTAATGCAGAAGGCAGTAAACATCCTATTAAAGGCAAATTGCACTCAGGCCACAAGGGTATGATTTAGTTCTCTGGAGCAGATAATACCATAGGCTTTGAAGCAAAACCACCTTGGTTCTAATCCCAGCTCTGTCTCTAATAAGATGTGTGACCTTCAGCAAGTCACTGAACCTTGATTTCTTCATCACCAAGAGAAGGGTAATAGGCCCTATCTCCCAGGGCTGTTGTGAGGGTTGAATTAATTCATGTCTAACATATGAAAATGGCTCAATTTTAAAAACTATTATTTCAAAAAGGTAAGAAAAAAATTTATTTCAGGAGCAAGTATAACTGCAGAAGTATAAATGTTGGTCTCCATTACAAAGCAATGATATTTTTTGACAACAATCCTTTAAGAGATAGAACAAACAGGTTTGATAACTCCTCTTCTAACAACTAGAAATCCGACGTGCTAACTGGCTAACCCAAGGTCACCAAGATCATATGTTGTACCAGGAAGAGAGCAGAGAACTGCTAACACCCAACACAGTGCCCCTTAGAGGATAACGAATCTGTTGGACTACAAACATCCAATTGTTAATGAGATTTTTTCCCCCTAAATATCAAAAGAAACATTCTTTATAAATCCAAGCACAAGGGCTCTATTATGAAGAGAGAGAAAACAAGCCACGAATTGGAGGAAGCTGGATACGCTACATTTCTCTGCTTATGTGGTGGCAGAAACATGAGATCCAGGTTTAAGACAGGACTCCATCACCCCCCAGCTATGTGACCTTCAGCAAGTCAACTAACCTTTGAATCTCTTTTTGTTAGCCAAGTGGGATCATTTCTACCCCATCTAATGCACAGGGTATGATCAATTAAGAGTATATATGTAGTAGTCTTAGGAATCTAGCAAACACAAGGTATTGATGTGGTTCCTTCTTTATTTGTTCTTGTTCCTAGCAAACTTACATATAATATGAATAGCAAGGAAATAGATTTGTGGAGAATTTATAATACAAGCATAGATCTGTTCCCAAATTTGTTATACATCACAATCACCTGGGGAGCTTTGTAAACTCCGAATGACTAGGTCATCTCCATCAATTAAACCAGAATGTGTGGGAGTGGCAGACAATCAGAGGTTTTTTTAAAAATCCCCCTATAATTCCAGTGTGCAGTAATGTTTGAAAACCACTGGTCTAAGCTATTCTCCTAATGTCTTAATCATTTTCTCACTGCCTAAACTAATTCAAATTGTGGCTCCTTTATGAGTCTCTAGTTGAGTACGACAGCCACTAGCCCTATGTAGCTACTCACACTTGAAATAAACAAGATTAAAATTCAGTTCCTAGTTGTACTTGCCACATTTCAAGTCTTCAAAAGCTACGTAGGTGGCCAGGCCCAAGGGCTCCCACATGTAATCCCAACACTTTGGGAGGTTGAGGCAGGAGGATTACTTAAGCAAAATCCTATCTCTACAAAAAATTTAAAAATTAGCAGGGCACGATGGTACACACCTCTAGTCCCAGTTACTTGGGAGACTGAGGTGGGAGGATTGCTTGAGACTTGGAAGTTGAGGCTGCAGTGAGCAGTGATTGCACATCACACTCCACGCTGGGCAACAAAGAGAGATCTTGTCTCAAAAAAATTAAAAAGAAAAAAAGCTATGTAGGGCTAGTGACTACCTTTACTGGACTGGACTGTGCCAACATTGCACATTTTCATCACAGAAAGTTCTATTAGACAGTGAAGCTCTAGCTAGTCTGTAGCACAAAACCATCCTATACAAAAGAAGAACAAAATTCTTTTTGTAATTACATATCACCTTGATTATTTAAGTATTAAAGGTAGAAAAGTCTTCTCTCAACATCCATATCTGTGCTGTTAAATACAGTAGCTGCCAGCTGCACAAGGCTATTGGCATTTGAAATATGTTTAGGGTGAAGAAAGAATTGAATTTTTAATATTAATTTAAATTAATTTTTAATTCAGATTTTAAAACATGTTTGACTCAGTTATTGAAAAACTTTTAAGTATAACTGGAACAAATGTGGTATGTGAATCTACTTTTTTGACTCTAAATTTTATAATCTAAATACAGATCAAATATTTCCAACAAAAATTCAACATCAAATTGAGATGTGCATTAGGAGTAAATCATACACCAGATCTCAAAGACTTCATATGTTTAAAAAAAAGTAAAATATCTCACTAGTAATCTTTATATTGATTACATGTTGGAATGATATTTTAATATACTGGGTTAAATAAAATACATTAAAAATAATTCCGAAATCTGTTCTTTTCTCATTTTCTTCACCATCTATCTAACCAGGTGAACTGTTTCTTTCTTATCTCCTAACGTGGCTACTGGGAAATTTAAAGTTCATCATATGGTTCACATATTTCTATTGTTCAGCTCTGTTCCAAATTATCAATTCTTTGAAGGCAGAGGTCATATTACTCTTTTCTTATCCTCTACAGCAGCAGCCCCCAACCTTTCTGGTACCAGGAACCAGGGACCGGTTTCGTGGAAGATCATTTTTCCATGGACCAGGTAGTGGGGAGGCAAGGGGGAGATGGTTTGGGGATGATTCAAGTACATTACATTCATTGTGTGCTTTATTTCTATTATTATTACATTGTAATATATAACGAAATAATTATACAATTCACTATAATGTAGAATCAATGGGAGCCCTGAGCTTGTGTTCCTGCAACTAGACAGTCCCATCCAGGGGTGATGGGAGACGGTAACAGATCATCAGGCATTGGATTCTCACAAGGAGCATATAACCTAGATCCCTCACACGTGCAGTTCACAATAGGATTCACACTCCTATGAGAATCTAATGCTGCTGCTGATCTGACAGGAGGCAGGGCTCAAGCAGTAATGCAAGTGATGGGGAGCACTGTAAACACAAACAAAGCTTTGCTCACTTGCCCCTTGTGCGGCCTGGTTCCTAACAGGTCCGTGGCCCGGGGGTTGGGGACCCCTGCTCTATGAAGAGGGCAGTTGTGGGAAAGAAAGATATTCAACAAATACTGGCTCAATTCATTACAAGGCCAAAATACTTTGACCACTCTCAAGTTTGTTAAAATTACACTGTAGTGAATTTTAACTGAGCTTTGTGACAAATCAGTTTTCATCCAGAAGCAAGGCATACGGTAAGAACTTGGATGATAACTTTCTTCAGTCTTTTATCTGGCAGGACACAGTACCATATAATGGCTGCTAAAAACAAATTCAAACATATGAAACCAAATAAACACATTAATTACCAATATTTCAATTTAGTTCTACATGGATAGAACATGCTATTCTTTGTCCCTATTGGTCCCATTTGGGTTATTTCAATCAGGTATCATCAGACCACCAAATGAACATAATATGCCCACTACGTATATAAATGAGCCCACTGCGAAAAGGACATAAATTTTCACAGCCTACTTGATTCACAGAATATTTATATTTAATAGTTAAATAGAGAACTGACTTAAATTGACTCAAACACTGTTATTAAAGTGCCTAGCATGATTTATCTTAAAATAGCTCTTCTTTCAACAAAAGATAATATGAAAAAATTTCCTATGTTTATTTGGTGACTAGGGACTCAAACGAAAATTTTGGTGATTTCTAAAACAAGTGTCTCACCACTGTGACAGCTTCCAAGAGCTCACAGAAACATCTGGGGTTTTTTTCTTTTCCATTTTACCTATTTATGTATTTTTTCTTTTGCAGCTTTGTTGAGATATATTTCACATACCATACAAAGCACCCATTTAAAGTATGCAACTCAATAGATTTTAGTGTATTCACATAGTTATCTGTTATTTTTAATACCTCATCTGGCCCAGATTAACTTCTTTTATTTACAATAGGTAGAACCCTATTATAATAGGAACTCTGAAATAGCTCGTTTTTTAAAAGATCTTCTCTCAATGAAAACAGATGTCTTCCCTTTCAACGTCTATAAAGTTGATAGGAAAAGTAATAAAAGGCACAAAATTGAAAGAAACAAAAAACATTTTGCTTAATATGCCTATTAGTAAGTTTTATTTTATGCTATAAGATCCCAAAATAACGTAAAAAGGCAAAATCAATTTTGTATATAAATCAATCACTTAGACTCAACTCTTCAGGGAATCTAGAACTCTTCAGGGAATCAAGAAAATAACAAAGGCTCCATTGCAGTCTTAACAAAAGCAGAAATCAAAATCATGGCATATTCATGAAAGACCTCATTCCAAAAATGCTTGGTTCAGTGCGAATTCAGATCTTTGGGTGTTCTTTGCATTCCAGTCATCAAGAAGAACTAGTTATCACAATGAGCACTGAAAGCAGAGAGTTCTCTCCATATGTTCTCAAAAATTGGCCATCTTCCATTTTTTCAAATCTTTTCCATGACAAAATTTCTGCTTTTGATAATCTGCATAAAGTCCCTGAAACACAGAAAAAGTAAACAAAAAAAATCTAGAGGTTTGGTGATTTTGCCATTACAATGGTTATTACCAATTCTCAACTGTACTGTCTTACCATGTCCACTCTGGGACATAGACTGACTCTCTGTACACCTTTGAATTTTCACACTCAGCAGTTGGTTCCAAAACGATGGTGCACAGTTTGGTGCCCTTAACTCTATTACACACTTCCCACAAGACACACTCTCTTCATTAAAACTTGCCTTCAGAAAACTGGTATCGTTTCCCAGAAATATAATAACCTCCACCTACATGTAAAGCATGATGCCTATCACTCTGGGTGAAAGGTCAATTATCCTCCCTCAAGGAGTTTCCCGCACAGCATCACGTGGGGCCACCTATACCAGCATCACCCACAGAGGCCGTTTCATGCCAAACTTCTTGACCCCATACCAGAACATGTAATCAGTGTCTCTGAGGGTAAATCCCAAGACTGACTTTACCAAGTATTTTAGGATGGTGGTATAGATGGAAAGAGCAAATGCATTCTTGTGAAAGTTAAATAACAGTACTAGGTAATTATGATAAACTCCAAATGTGGAGTGAGGATGGCCAATGTCGCAGGATTTCATAGAAAGAATGGGCAGAAATAAGGGAAGGGCACATTCTGGTTTGGAAGGAATGACCCAGGCAGGGAGTCAGAAATGTGCAGTCAACAGAACAGGGAATGAAGGGCAACAGTGAGTAAACACATCCAACCAGAACAGAGTTATTGCTCCGGACTAAGATAAGAAGGGGTAAGGACCCCACTATGGAGTTCTCTGAGTGCCAAGCCAAGGAGTATTTCTGAGTCAGGGAATAATATATCAAATGGGGCTGTCTAGCAATTATGGTACAGGTATAGAAATCTGAAGGAAAACTAATATAGAGGCCCATTCAACTGGGTTAGAGAGCCACAGGCACTACAGAAAGGGCCAAGCCCCCCTTCTTTGATAGGCAGAATAATGGTCCCTAAAGATATACCCATCCCAATCCCCAGAACCTATGAATATGTTACCATACATGGCAAAGGAGACTTTGCAGATATGATTAAAGTTAAAGACCTTGTGAAAGTGAGATTATCCTGGATTATCTGGGTGGGCCCAATCTAATCACATGAATCCTCATAGATGGAGAACCTTCTGAGGTTGTAGCCAAAAAACTGGGGACATGCAAGCATGAGAAGGTCTTGCCCTGACATTATTTGCATTGAATATGGAGGAAGGGGGCCACAAGCCAAAGAAGGTGGTGGCTTCTAAAAGCTGGAAATAGCCAGGAAACAGATTGTCCCCTAGAGCCCTCCAGAAGGAACACAGCCCTGCCAACACCTTGGTTTTAGCCCAGTGGGACCCATGTTGGACTTCTGACTGCCAGAACTATAAAATGATAAATCTGTGTTATTTCATGCCATTAAATGTGTGGTAATTTGTTCCAGTAGCAATAGAAAACATACATCTTTTGGTCATTTTTTTCTTACAAAGGACTTCTCTGCTATACACTGTGATCTCAGATCCACATCCACCCACCACAAAGAGTTGAGAGAGATTTCTTAAGTTGAATGTGGACCCTGAAGTCTGTGTGGTAAGTGTCACTACTTTGGAGACTTAAAGTCACAGGTGTGAAGAAGGGATAGTTAGGCACCAGTCTAGTTAGCACATCTTCATCTAACATCAGCTTCAAAGACTTCTCTCCCAGCCTCACTTATCTTGAAAAACAAGGGAAGTCTTAGAGCAAATCCATATCACCACAATGATGGGAATGTTTAAAAGCCACTTGTTCATGTTAGTCACCCCATTCTGAGTTCCATGGAGAAGTGTTGTATTCATCTTTATTTTGCTAGATCCTACCATAGTAGACATTCAATAAACTAACAAACAAATCTTAATTTCTCAACTTTTTTTTTTTTTTACCATCTCCCTCTGAGCTCTCCAAATTCCTTATCCAACTCTGATAACTTTCTTTACTTCTTGTCCACAACTCTAATTTATTTCCAATATTTACCAGACTGTTTAACAGTCAACTCCATTCTTCGGGCACTAAAAGCTACACATTATCATAACCAGAATTGGTAGCAAGTATAGTGTCACTCAAAAATATTTTAATCATGAAACTCCCCCAAAGGGGATTCCTTTGTAGCAATTTTTTTTTTTTTTTTTTTGAAAGGGAGTCTCACTCTGTCATCAGGCTGGAGTGTAGTGGCGCAATCTTGGCTCACTGCAACCTCCACCTCCCAAGTTCAAGCGATTCTCCTGCCTCAGCCTCCTGAGTAGCTGGGACTACAGGTGCCACGCCTGGTTAATTTTTGTATTTTTTTTAGTAGAGACAGGGTTTCACCATGTTGGTCAGGCTGGTCTCAAACTCCTGACCTCGTGATTCGCCCCCCTCAGTCTCCTAAAGTGCTGGGATTACAGGCGTGAGCTACCGCGCCCGGCCCCAAATGTTTTCAAAATACACCACTTCTCTCCATATTGTAACAAAGAAGAGTAAACTGAAGGGCATATTATAAATCGGTCTTGAATCAAGCAGCACATCACATTCTTCAGAAGCAAGAAGCCACTCATCTAGTTTTCAGACAATGTGTTAAATTCAACATTCTTGGGCACAGTGACTCATGCCTATATTCCCAGCACTTTGGGAGGCCAAGGCAGGAAGACCGCTTGAGGTCAGGAATTCAAGACCAGCCTAGGCAACATGGCGAAACCCTGTCTCCACAAAACAATCAATCAACATTCTAGCACTCTTCTTGCTTCTGACTCACTAAAACAGGTAAGAGATCAAGGTGATCACTTATTTACCTTTTCAACCTCATCTACCAAATCCACAATTCTAAAAAATTGAGTTAACACAAAGTCTTCTTCCTCTTTCTAGTGAGAGGATAGTTGGAAAGAAAATTTGATCAAAATAAGAGCTTGTCAAATAAATTTACACCTTTAGGGAGCTTAGAGAAAGGACAAAATTTCTGACTCAAACCTTCCCTTCTAGCATTTATCTAATGTTCTACCTTTATATTCAAATGCATTAGTCAAGACATACATTGCACTGAAACTTTGTGGGCATCATCCAATGAAGAAAAATATGAAGCCAGGTGCAGCAGCTCATGCCTGTAATCCCAACACTTCGGGAGGCCGAGGTGGGAGGATCAATTGAGGCTAGGAGTTAAAAGACCACACTGGGCAACGTAGTGAGACCCCGTCTCTACAAAAATTTAAAAAATAAGCCAAGTGTGGTGGCACCTGCCTCTGGTCTCAGCTACTCAGGGGGCTGAGGTGGGAGGATCACTCGGGCCCAGGAGGTCAAGGTTGCAGTGAGCTATGATCACACCACTACACTCTAGGCGGGGTGACAGAACAAGGCTCATTCTCAAAAAACAAAAGAAAAATATGATATGACATGAAATATATATCCATATCACTACAATTATGGTAATGTTTAAAAGCTACCTGCTTATGTTTGTCATCCATTATGAGTCCCATGAAGAACTGTGTTGTATTCATCTTTATTTTGTTAAGTCTTAGTACAGCACCCAGCCTGTGGTAGGTGCTCAGTAAACAAATGGAAGCTTCAGTGGCCCCCATATCTAAATGTTGCTCCAAACCCTGAATGCTCCTTTAGAGCATCAGCTTCCATTTCAAACAAGAGCTTTCCTCCCTCCTGTGTGCTGGCTGGAACTTTCCTCTGGTGGTTTCACCCGTGCCTTTCCTCATTCTGTTGATTTGTTTGTTTCGTTCACATCATCCTTCCCCTAAAAGGACTTCATCTGATTTGATTCCATTTCCTTCTTTATTTGCTTTTTCTCCTCGAGGCCTTGATCCTCTTGCCTTTTAAGTAGCCAGCCCCTACCCTGTTCCCACCCTTTCCAAGTGTACTTCCCATCTGCTTCATTTTTTTCTTTTCTGTCTGCCTTCTGGTGCTGGTGTTCCCCTTGCCCTCCCTGCCTGACCTCCCCTTCTCAGCTTCTGTAGGAAAGAGCTGTCTCCCAGTTCCAGGGATGCTCATTTGAAAAGAAAACCTCTGAGGCCAGCTTTGAACATCCCCAGGACTTCTGTGTGGCATAGTTTCTTCCTCCATCCAGGACTCCTCACAAAGGCCTGGGGACCCTCTCAATGACATGTCTACTTCAAAGTAAGGTATCAGGATGGGCTTTTCCCACCCTGACGCAGCACTGATGCAAGCTTCCCCTCAGTATCTGGAGCTCCTCCAGGAATGCCCTGAGAATCAGAGTAAGAACAGCTACAGGCAGTCAGTGCTCTTCTCTGAGGTTATTGCCCCTTCTTTGGCCCTTTCTCTGACCAATTAAATCAATGGCATGAACAGACACTCTCAATCCCTTCCTCTTGTATGCTGATGAAAGGTCCAATCATTCAGTAGTCCTTGAAGAACTAGGCCTTGATCTTAATGAAGAGCTCCCAGCATCCCTTTCTGCCCACATTCCTTCACAGCAAGCCAACAATGGAGCAAATACTCCAGGAAGGTGGCAGAAATAGACAAAGTTTGTCACCTGACATAGGCTCTAAAACTCCTTCAGTAAAAATGAGCTTTTTCTGTGCCTTTGCACCCTATGCTACCCGTGATCCAGCAGGATTTTAACAGTTCTTTCACAAGTGAAACATTACACCCACCCAAAAGAGATATTTTCAACTTAATGTGTGAAGATTTTCACCTTAGTGTCTCCAAGATCTAGTGGGAAGTCTACAGTCTTAAATTTAATACAAGAGAAAAAATAAAGATTAAGAAAATAATCAAATGAGCCATATTTGCCACTTTATTTCATATTCTTTTCCCAACTGCAAAGAAAAAACCCACTTTTTTTCTTTATTTGAGACAGAGTCTTGCTCTGTGGCCCAGGCTGGAATGCAGTGGTATGCTATTGGCTCACTTCAACCGCTGCCTCCCAAATTCAAGTGATTCTCCTGTGTCAGCCTCCCAAGTAGCTGAGATTACAGGCATCTGCCACCATGCCCAGCTAAATTTTTTTGTATTTTTAGCAGAGACAGGGTTTCACCATGTTGGCCAGGCTGGTCTCGAACTCCTGACCCTCAAGTGATCCACCCACCTCAGCCTCCCGAAGTGCTGGGGTTATAGGCGTGAGCTACTGCGCCCAGCCAGAAAACATATAAATCTAATACTTAATTTTTCATTTCCCCCACAATACAATACCTGAGGTATCTAAGCTTTCTAAAGTGTTTTTCATTTCATTATCCTTATTTCTCATGTTTTTGAAACCATGTTCTTGGCTAGGACACGAGAGCACATTTGGGGCATGTATTGTTTCCAATTAGGCTCTAACGCCTTGGCTTTCTGTTATACACAATCTCCCTTTTCACTCTCTGCTTATAATGGCTGTGCCCTCGCAGACAGCATGCAAGGGACAGAATGGCATACAATCTAAATTAGTCAATAACCTTAACAGATAGCTCAGTCTTTACCTTTCCCTCTCCTCTCTCATTCAGCTAAACTTCAACCAAAGCTGCTAACCCAAAAACAAAAGCAGGCATTGAATCTGAACTCCTTTTGTTTCTCCCTCTAACAAAGAGGCAAATAAGCAGTAATACAGCCAGAAGGCTGGGCAGCAGGGGAGGAAGGGGACAAAACAAGCGTCCTGGCAATCCACAAACTGGATCGTCCCCTCCTCTAAGATGAAGGGCTGAGGATTCTTTGTTCCCTCCCTTCCCCACCAAGTGTTAATAATCCCCAATAAGTCACAGTTCAAACATGACACAGAAAGCTCTTTTAAATATATACGCAAAGGGTATTTCTGAGCAGACTGCTCCTAATGAAGGAGTCTGTGAATCACACTGGGTCAGTCAGGGCCCAGAATCCACTCCTGACCTTTCATTCAGCCGTATTTTCTTTCTTTCTGTAATCCCCACCCCCACCCCCACCCCCTGACGCCAAGACAGAGTCTTGCTCTGTCACCCTGGCTGGAGTGTACTGGTGCGATCTTGGCTTGCTGCAACCTCTGCCTCCAGGGTTCAAGTGATTCTCCTGCCTCAGCTTCCCGAGTAGCTGGGGTTACAGGTGCTGACCACCACGCCCAGCTAATTTTTGTATTTTTAGTAGAGACAGGGTTTCACCATGTTGGCCAGGCTGGTCTGGAACTCCTGACCTCGTGATCCACCCACCTTGGCCTCCCAAAGTGCTGGGATTACAGGCATAAGCCACCGCGCCCGGCCATTCAGCCATATTTCCTTTCTAATCCAGCACCACACTGAGGCTTAACTCTGGTTTATACTTGGACTGAGAGCTGGAGATCCAAACACTGCTGCTTCCATGGCTAATTGCATCTCACCTGGTACGACAGCCCTCCCCATCGACAGCCCTCCCCATCGGGCCCTCGACAAAGGTATGCAAAGGAATCCCTTGGCCCATGGCATCCCCTCCCACCAGCAAAGGAGTTGCTCGGTTACTGCTCCCCACCAACACACACACATACTTAATAGCCCCTCACTTCCCACAGATGGGGGAATATGAAAATATTCCAAAAGGCCCCTGTGGTAACTTCTGAGCAGTCACATTTGTCCCATTACAAGAGTGTTTTTAAGAAAACTAGGGGGGGGAGGAGTGCAAATTCCTACCAACCCACATTGATTCGCCTTTGCCAAGAAGTTTCTGCTCCTTCAACCCACTGCGTAGTGGTTTCTGCCTACAACAGTAAGGTGACAACCCTGACTAGACTTCCAATGGCGACTCCAGGACCAAAACTCGTGTGAGAAAAGATCCAGGCAAGCTTCTGTTGTTCTGAAATGCTAGCAGAGGCAGGAAGGAGTCAACAGGCGAGGAGGCTGCCTTCTGCCCAGCTTCTCAGAGTTAGATAAGTCATATTCCTGAAAATCTAATTTAAATGATTCCCAGATTTTTCTTCACAATCTATCACGCAAGTCCCTCAACTGTCTTTCGGGGAGCAAGTCCCTCAACTGTCTTTCGGGGATGGGGAAAGAAAAAAGATTCTAACACCTCGAGTTGCCAAAGCAACAAATGTATTCACTTTGATGAAAAGAGTGAAGGGAACAGGGGAGCCATACAATTAGGTCAAAGTGACTGTGGCATTGTCCTGGCATGAGAAATGAAATGGGCATACAAATCAATGGCTCCCAGACTTCAGATCAAGGCCAGGGAGCCCACGGGCCTGGGTTCTTTCGGGTTTGGGGAAAATGACCTCTTTCCTCTCTTTTCTCTACAGTGTATTCTCTCCTGCTCTAATTCTTTTCCCTCCAAACTTACCCCACACAGGCCTAGGCTTATCAAAATGTGAGGGCACATTCAGCCCACAATCGAAACTGAAGTCTGTAGAAAGAGGAATCCAGTGGCTGTACTTCTTCCACTCAAAAGTCTGGAAAAGCCACCTAATTATGTTAATGTATTCAGTTTGTTTCGAGAGTCTAGTGTTTCAGAGTGTGGACTCCGGAGCAAGCGGGCTGACCTCCAACCTCTGAATCCTAACTTGGCCACTGACTGACTATAGAACCCTGGGCAAGGTGGTTTATCTCTGTGCCTCAGTCTCCTCATCCATAAAACGGTGCTGATATTAGTACCTATGTCAATCAGGTACAGATTAAACAAATTAGTATGCATAAAAACACTGGTCACAATAAGGATCCAATTAGCATGGACCCCTCAAGCTGAAGAAGTGTCAGAAATGTGAACACAGGCAGGGTGCAGTAGCTCATGCCTGTAATCCCAGCACTTTGGGAGGCCGAGGTGGGCAGATCACGAGGTCAGGAGTTCGAGACCAGCCTGGCCAACATGGTGAAACCCCGTATCTACTAAAGATACAAAAAATTAGCCGGGCATAGTGGCACACACCTGTAGTCCCAGCTACTTGGGAGGCTGAGGCAGAAGAATCGCTTGAACCTGGGAGGAGCAGGTTGCAGTGAACCAAGATGGTGCCACCACACTCCAGCCTGGGCAACAGAGCGAGACTCCATCTCAACAACAACAAAAAAAAACTGAAGTCCAAGAGTTCAAAGTTAGCACCTCCAACAGAATACAGGGAAAGACACAGCATTTTAGCAGTTATCTCCTCCCATGGTTTTCAAACTTTTCTACAACCTGGAATGTTTTATTCAACAAAATCTTACTCCAAGCGTAGAAGGCAGAACAAAAGTAGAGCTGTGCCAACTGAGGATGGGGTAAGGGCATGACCTGGAGACCCAGCGACCTGCCACATCCCAGAAGAACCTTCAAAATCCACCGCCATGGGTAATGGACACATGGAGCAGGGACATCACCTCATGATCTTGTCCTGTTTGTAAAGATGACAACCGTCAATGATTTTAAGGAACGAGTGGACAGGTAAGAGGCTATGAGCTTTTGTGAGAGCTTGGGCAGGAGACAGTGAAGTCAGGCAGAGGAGACTGCGATGGGAGGTCAGACAGCAGGAGGAGATGCCACATGGGGCTGACTTAAGTGAGAAGGGAGGAGTAGGGAGGAGCTGAGGATGGCTCTGCTCCTGGCCCCTCTAACTATGGCAACTTCTGGCTGTGCATGGTATATGCAGCAGTCTGGATAATGAAGATGAGCCAATCTTTTTTTAAACAAAAATTTTAGGAGAATGAATGGTTTTTCGAATAAACAATCTAATTAAAATCAGAAAAGCTTTTTAGTTTTCATCTTTAAGTATAACACTGAAATGTCTTACTAAATTTCTAACTGCTGTAACTACAAAACATGAAAAGCCTTTAGTACCTGAAGGTACTGTTGTCTCCACGCTCCACGGAACACTGCAAAAGGAGAGAACTGAGCTGGCTCTGTCCTCACTTCGTTATGTTAATCAGAAGGGAAACTGTTGTTGATTTGTTAAATCCTTCAGTTTTTCTTGTGTCTTGCCTCTTTCTTATTAATGTAAAGCAAAGAAAAAAACAAGGCTTAACTACAAGTTCTGATTAATACAGGCTTTATGCATTTGGTTTAGAAATGTGTATAATTTTCTGCAATATATTTGTCTAATTGTTTTTTTAATGCAAATATTAAAATTAGTTTTTATTCCCCAAGCTCTCAGTGATTGAAACTCCTTGCGGGCCTATTTCAAAAACTGGAATATTTCTATGTCGGTGACAGAAGGAGCCGTTGTTACAGAGGACTTAAAAGTGGAAGAGAGTATAGAAGAGGCAACAGGTAGATTTGGAATAGGGTATGACCTTTTTCCTTGAAATCTGTTTGAATGAGGAAAGGTTTCTATGTAGGATGGAATGTATAAAGGTGGTGATAACTCATTAGACTACTCTGGGAAAATGTAGGAAGGTTATGCAGTCTGTCAAACATGTAGCCACATTAATGCTTTAGCAAAGCTGTTTGACACCAGTATCTGAGAAGCTTCTTCTACAAGCAAATTCCATTTTCTAAAGTCTTTGGATTTTTTTGACGACTGTCTGTATTCTAAAAAGCCGTAACTCTTACATTAATCTGTTTGCACTAGGTAACCAAGCAGTGAAAACAAGGCCACAAGTAGGAACATTTAGCCTATTCAACCCCAAGTTTCCTCTCAAATGATACGGACCTAAAGGGAAGGTTTTCCCTCCTCTCTGGAAGCTAAAAGCATGTAATTTTAAACCTCTCAAAGAGGCACTTACCATGAGAACCTTGACCGGTGCTTCCCTGCAAGGATGAGAGCCCCCCAAGTCCTGCCATAAAACTACAGACTATTTTAAGGGGAGAGGTCAGGAAAAAAATTTGAGAAACTTTACACTGTTAATTAATTTTGCAGAAATCCATTAGATGGTAGAAAAATCCTGAAAAGGAATCTCATACACCAAGGCCTATGAGCAGAGAAAAAAAGGAAAAAAGTAGTCCCAGAATCTGTTCCCTGCATATCACTGCATATTAAGCATGAAGATCACACATCTAAGAGGCTATCATGCAACAAAAATCCCATAGTTCCGGAAAGAGAAACTAAAGAGAGAGAAACCAGAGGGAGAAAGAAGGAAGAAGTGTGCCTAAAACAGACATCATCTAGTCCTTTCTAGCAACTAAGAGGCACAAAAGCATTTACAAAAAGAGAAATATTGAACACCCCTTCTGTTGTGCTTGCTTGGTGAGTTCAGTGTTTTGGGTCTTGACTACTGAGTGCCATCTTAACCAACAGACAATTAGACATTAGAGGCTTCAACATGGCTTTGCCAGGCACAGGTCTTTTGGTTTCTTCTCGACAAACACAAAGTGCATGGCTTAAAAGCACTAAACAGTTCTGTATTTCAGAGACTCTTCAAGGGACAAGAGCATGAGAGATGTAGGAAATCCGGACACACGCATGTAATCAGCTATCTGAGGGAAAGCTTAAACGTCTTATCAAAGCAGCACTCTCCAAGGATTTTCTTTTTGCAAAAAATGTTTTTCTTACCTCACTGTGGTCACTGACCTACTTTTAAATTCAATGCTGAAAATGGTGCAAGGCTTCACGAGAATTACAGAGCCTAATGCATAGGAGTTCAACAAATGCTTTGATGAGTGCATCTGGTTTCAGATAGTATTCAATTTACAGAAGGTTTCCTTTTATGCCATACTGACAGTCCAAAAAAGAGAAAACCCCGAGGAGTTTTACTCCACATTTAATCTGTCTTTCCAAGTCAAAGAAGAGAGTTTTATGAACAAGTTCCTCAGTCTGTTGGTTTGAACTAAGAGGACAGTCTATGCTTATCCCGACAATTAACAATTTCAGATCACTGGAGGATTATTTTATGTTACTCTTGTTTGAACATTACTCAAACTCCAACAAGAGTCAAAGGTACCCTTTGAACACACTCTCAGAAGCAACTCCCTAAAAGTTGCTTCTAAGCAACTTTTATCCAATACTTTTATCCAAAAATTTAAAATTAAGCAATAAATACTTAAACACTCAGCAGTGCTGAAATAGATACAGAATAGCCTTCTGTTATTATGTGTTTTTTTTTTTTTAAGAAATCAGCAAATGCTAGGTGCAAAAACCTATACTGCCAAAATCTTTAAGCAGCTCCCTTACACATACAGTCAGGTATGTTTTGACGAATTCAATGGGTATAGGAGAAAACATGTGGAAACTCATCTATGACCATGAGTTCAACCTGCAGGCTTGTGAGTAATACATCAATGAAGATGCCACCTTTGGAAAATTTATTCTCTATCAAATTACAGTTAAGTATTAAAAACTAAAGAGACTAGTGGTCTTGTTACATTTTATAAATATTTTCAACTGAAGACCAGCACTGTTATATACCTACTGTCATATCATATGGTAATACACAGGCATACTTTTTATGTAACTGGCAAACAAAAAGCTACACACAAGGAAGAACAAATGGATGCTAAGTCGTTTGGTCCAAACGACAGTCAAAGAAAAGGAAAATCACTGGAGGAAAGGGAAGGGAAAGGACACTTCTTGAGGGAAGACTATCCAGTAAGGAAGTTATTAGCAGCAGTAATCCAGGCAGAGGGAGGTAGGGATTGCACTAGGGGGTGAAGGTGATGTAAGATAGAAATGGGGTGAAAATGCATTTAAAGAGACATTTCAAAGTGGAAAAAGATGGTAACAAATTGACTACATCAAAAGGAAAACATGGGTCTCGGTTACATACTGTAAAATGGCATGAAGCTCACTGCTATTTAATAAAACCACTTCTTTGCTTCCTGTAATTGTCAAAGAAATTTAAAATACTCAACTTCAATTACCATCTAGCTGAAGAAAATCTGAGATTATTTTCTAAATCAAAAATAAGTTGATGGCTGACCACAGTGACTCACACCAATAATCCCAAAACTTTGGGAAGCCAAGGTGGGAGGATGGCTTGAGCTCAGGAGTTCAAGATCGGCCTGGGCAACACAGTGAGACTTCATCTCTGTAAAAACTTTTTAAAAATTAGCCAGGTGTGGTGGTGCATGCCTATAATCCCGACTACTGGAGAAGCTGAGGCAGCAGGATTGCTAGAACCTGGGAGATCAAGGCTGCAGTGAGCTATTATCTCACCACTCTACCCTACAGCCTGGGCAACAAAGTAAGAAACTTGTCTCCAAAAAAAAAAAAAGTGAGTTTATTCACACAACCTTTAGAAGATTGACAAAGTCTCTTTTTTTTAAACTCTTCTCTTTCAGGGTAAATATCATCTCTTTACTAAAAAAATCTAAACTGGGCCACCCAGAAAAGTTTAGCTGCCTATGAACTCCAGTGGTATGACTTACCACTTCCTTCCCTCCTTCCTGCCTCTTTATTAAATTTATAAAATCTTTGCCTTTGTCCAAATCAAATAAAACTTTGACACATCACAGTGAGCACCAGTTGTGTTGCGAACTGTTAAGAAGAGATATCTATAATGGTATACAGAAAAATCAGTAGGGGTGTATTTCCCCTACTTAAACACCATACACACATACGAAGTCCTTTGCATATCTGCAGATTCTTCCTTAACAATGGTCTATAATGTATTACATTTACACAATTGCTATTCTCTTCCATTTCCTTTAGATCATCCATTACATTCTTTATCCAGTTGAATTCCCTAAAACAAAACCAACAAACTACTTTTCATTTTTAATGTCAATTATTTACCTGGTACTTCACAAAGATGCTGTATTTAGTTTCTCTAAGAGCATGCTTTTTTTTTAACCTATTATGTAAAATTTCAAACAATCACAAAAGTTGAAAGAATAGTATACTGCACCTCCATGTATACTTCAACAATCATCAACATTTTGCAATCTGGTTTCAGCTACCATCCCCCAACCAGGCCTTTAAAGTGAATCTCAGACAGCATGTCATTTCATCTGTAAATATTCCAATATGCTTTTGAGAAAGACCTTGTATAAACAATCACCCATAAGACAGTGCTCTGTTATTCTAAAAAAAATATTTATTAGACCGTATTTGTAAGTATTAAAAATGATTTTGCCATTGGGTTAAAAAGCTACTCATTAAAAAATGATTTTAGGGACAGTCCCTCTGAGCCCAGGCTAGCCAGCATGGACACAGAAATCACTGACTATAATGCCAAGTATGAGCTTGGCAAAGATAAAATTACTCACAGCCTACATGCGCCACACACATGGTCTAATTTCTTGTAAGATTAGAGAACAAATTAGTAAAACTGGAATGAAAACCAAAGTCTGTTCAAGGCTGGAATTTCCCCAGTAGTCCAATGTTTCAGCTACTGTGGCTGTTTAGAAAGTATCATGAATCACCCTTAAAGATGAGCTGTAATGTTTTTGGAAAAAAGAAGCCAGTGTGGTTTAGGGATGGGAAAGGAGGGGAGGTACTAGGCTGCTTGTCAACCAGCTGACCCGGAACCCTGACGACTGGCTGATGGCAATTCTATCTGTGTGAGTTAGCATATTAATTAAATACTAGAACAAAGTCTACAGTGGTGATTCCCAAATGTGGCTTCCTCCAGGCTAGCAGCATCACCTGGGAACTTGTAAGAAATGTAGATTTTCAACCCCTGATCCAGACCAACTGAATCAGAAACTTTGGGGAGGACAGGGCCCAGCAATCTATGTTTTAACAAGTCCTCCAGTTGATTCTGATGCATGATAAAATTTCGAAACCACTGGTCTAGAGCTACACTGTCTAACCACCTGTGACTATTAAACTCTAAAGTAATTAAAATTAAGTAAAATTTAAAATTCAGTTCCCCAGTGACACTAGCCACATTTCAACACTCACTAACTCAGCAGCTAGTGGTTACTCGGCACAGATTATAAAATGTTCCATTGGACAATAGTGGTCTAGGACATTTAAACTGAAGTTTAATTTACAGAATACAAGGCTTCTCTTATTCTGGGAGGAGGGGAGTACTCACCAAAAGTGAGATTCTTACTTTGGCAGAATCTCAAGGGCGTTTCCCAGGTGTCCACTGCATGACTCAGTTTCCACAGGGAAAAGCATCACAGAATTGGGGAAGACAGTGGAAGAAGAAGACACTGTTGCCCACGTTAGCCACACAGGTGAAACACAGACTGGAGTGTAAAAGACTCCATTTCTTTAAAGAATTGAGACTCTGATGTAGTCAGGATCAATAGTATCAGCACAAACTGGCTCTTTGAAAGTTCTGCAACTTGGGATTCAAGGAGACTCCTGGGCAGATGCTTTCCATCTTTATGGAAAACCACAGTGCCAACAGCAAGATACCTCCCCCAACTGGCTTTGCCAGAGGAGAACGACAGAACTGTTTGTGAACCATGTATGATGCCCTCAGAGAGAATCAAGAGGGGTCATGAAGAGGACTGAGATCCTGCCTACCAACTAAGTGGGCGCAATTACTGGCAACATTTTAATATTGATGGTCATATGACCTCATTTGTAACCTCACACATGGTGGAGCAGGGGACACTGAGTTACCCATAGGCTTGCTGAACATTCAATCGACTCTATCATATTTTAATACCATTATTGAACTGATCTCAAGGAAACAGCTGCCACAACTATGTTAAAATCATACAGGGCCTTTTGTCTCCACTAAATCAGAACTGAAACTAGGCAGGCTAGGACAGACTCCAGGATTCAGTCTCTTCCTCCTGAGCACGCAAGCTCACTACCTCCCATTAGGATAAAGGGGAGCTAAGTATTTACTTGCTCGTTAGAGTCTATTTCTGTAATGTGTTATCCTGCCTGCCCCAGGAATATCTTGCATATCTCTAAATGAAAGTAGTCCAAAGGAATAAATCTTTCATGCTGGAAATTAAGGCTATGTGGCACCTAAGTGAGGCAAACCCGAATGGGGCCTTTAAGCACCCTCAAATCAGACTAAATATCAAGCTGGTTCTTGTGGGATAGTCATGCAGACCACCCATGCAGGGTCTGGGCGGTGGTCTCCTTCCCATCCCATACTCCCATGGACATGCCTCTATCCAGCTTTTCTCTCCCTTCCAAATCTTCAGTCTCTCCCTCTGAATCTTCCTATTACATTTAAACACTCTCAAGTCTCTTCCATCATCATCATCATCGTGAAAATCCCCCAGCTACCCCACCCTCTACTCGGCTGCCCTCTCTCCTTCCAGTCTTCTGGAACTTACTGCTTAAATAGTCAGTTTCTGTCCTGACCCTCCTAACCCATTGCTGGCTGCCTTCTGCTTCTTCCAAGCCACTGGAAGAAAATCTCAGTCATGGTTGAACCCTCAGTGTCTAGCGTAGAGCCTGGCCCAAAGCAGGCTGAGTCAGCACTGTGTGAATGCACGACGGACTTCCATGTTGTGAACTCAACTGAACCCTCTTTAGTACTTAATTTCCTGGCATTCCCCAGCAGCAACTGATGCTGTTTCTCTCCTCTCCTTTTTTTTCTTTTTTTCTTTTTGGATGGAGTCTCTCGCTCTGTTGCCGAGGCTGGAGTGCAATGATGTGATCTTGGGTCACTCCATCCTCTGCCTCCCGGGTTCAAGCAATTCTCCTGCCTCAGCTTCCCAAGTACCTGGGATTACAGATGCCGGCCACCACGCCCGGCTAACTTTTGTATTTTTCGTAGAGACGGGGTTTCACTGTGTTGGTTAGCCTGGTCTTGAACTCCTGACCTCAAGTGATCCGCCCACCTCAGCCTCCCAGAGTGCTAGGATTATAGGCGTGAGCCACCACGCCCAGCTCTACTCTCCTCCCTTCTAAACACATCTTCCTCTTGGTCTCCACAATAGCACTGTACACTTCTGGTGTTGTGACCCTCTCTAACAATTCCTTCTCCTCTTCCTCTAGCTTCCCTTAATGAGTTGTGACCCTTTGCATTCTGTCCCAGGTGCTCTTCTCACCTACCTTCCTAGCTAATCCCATCTACTCCAATGGGTTAACTATCAATCCCAAACTGATGGTTCCCAAAGTGGTAGAAGCCTCTCCCCACTGAAGTGAAGGCTAGTGCACCGACAGACTTGCAGGTCTCCACACACACCATCACATCACTATCCTGCTTCCTGACCTCTCTCAGAAAATCTGCTCATTGAGTGCTCCCTATTTCAGTGAATGGCACCACCACCCATCTGGTTCCCCATGCCAGAAACCCCGGCTTCACCTCCTTCGTTTCTCGTCTCTAATCAACTACCGTCTATAAGTATCTCTGGACAGACTCACTTTTCTCCATCATTATTTCTTACCTGAAATAGTGATACATTTTTCAGGTCATTTGCCCTGCTCCTGTCCTGCCCAACCACCCACAAATGCCCATTCATTCCTGCTGCGGCCCGAGCGATCCCTCTAAATGAGTATGATCTTCAGACTGCACCTGGGAACTTGTTAGAAATGCAAATTCTCAGGCTCTAGCCCAGACCTACTGAATCATAAACTGAGCATGGAACCCAGTAATTAGTGTTTTAACAAGCCCTTCAGACAATTCTGATGCAACATAAAGCTTGGGAACCACTGCTTTTAAATATAAATCTGCTCACATCACTCTCCTGATTGGAAAGCCTTCAGTGGTTTGTCATTGTTCCTACATTAAAGGTCAAATTTGTAGATATCTTTTATGTATTATAGAAACAACCATCCTAAAATGAAGGGTGAATAAAGTCTAAACACACAAATGAACAGACAATAACTCAAGCTTTGGGTGGGGGTACGGAGAAAGGTATTATCAGTAAATGAAATAGCATATGAAAAAGGACAGAAGTGGGCCAGGTGTGGTGGCTCACGCCTGTAATCCCAGCACTTAGGGAGGCCAAGGTGGGTGGATTACCTGAGGTCAGGCTTTTCAGACCAGCCTGGACAACATGGTGAAACATCTCTCATAAAAATACAAAAATTAGCTGGGCATGGTGGCAGGCACCTGTAATCCCAGCTACTAGGGAGGTTGAGGCAGGAGAATCACTTAAACCCGGGAGAAGGAGGTCGCAGTAAGCCAAGATCGCGCCATTGCACTCCAGCCTGGGCAACAAGACCAAAACTCCGTCTCAAAAAAAAAAGAAAAAGAAAAAGAAAGAAAAAAAGAAAAAGGACAGAAGTGAGAAGCATGGCTCATTAAGGGAACTGATAACATTCAGAAGGACCAGTAGGTGACGCTGAGGAGGTTAACTACCTGAGAATATGTTAGTCCATTTCCTCCCTTTCTTTCTCAGGTGTCTAAATTTTGTCGGTTCCTCATCTGGTCACCCTGGCCCCCCTCACCAACCAAAAACTCTCCAACAACACAGATTTAACACAAAAAACTCCCCTAGCCACCATTTCCTATTTTAAAAAACAAACACACACAGACACACACTGGTAGGAACTCCCACTCTCAATATCTGATCCCACAAATTATCACACACCACCAATTCTCATTTCCTATTGCAGTTCTCATCTATTTTAACTCTACTGCTCCAAGTCCCTCTCTCAATTTTTTTTTTTGAGACGGAGTGTCGCTCTGTTGCCCAGGCTGGAGTGCAGTGGCATGATCTTAGCTCACTGCAAACTCCGCCTCCCTGGTTCAAGCAATTCTCTGCCTCAGCCTCCTGAGTAGCTGGGATTACAGACACGTGCCACCATGCCCAACTAATTTTGTATTTTTAGTAGAGATGGGGTTTCTCCATGTTGGTCAAGCTGCTCTCGAACTCCCGACCTCAGGTGATTCCCCTGCCTCAGCCTCCCAAAGTGCTGGGATTACAGGCATGAACCACCACGCCTGGCCTCCTGTCCCCCATTTTTAAGACAGGGTCTTGCTCTGTGTCACCCAGGCTGGAGTGCAGTGGCATGATTATAGCCTACTGCAGCCTCAAACTCACGGGCTCAAGAATCCTCCTGCCTCAGCCTCCCAAGTAGCTAGCACTACATGCATGCACTACCACTCTGTCTTTCCTCCCCTTTTTACTAAAATTGGTTCAAATCCCACCTCTTCCTAGAAAATGTATCACTATTATCTAGCGAACTTGTTAATGCTCTGTAGATCCTCTGTATTTGAATGTGCTGGGTGTGCTTGTGAGTATCAATCACTTGCTACATCATAAAACTCAAAAATATTTATAAAGATGTGTAGCTGTTTAACTTCCTAAAGAGGCAGTAAACTTCCTCTTAATTGTCTCATTTTCAAAATAAGCAGGTTGAATAAAATTACAATTAAGGTCAACTCCAAGTCTAAAATTTCATTACCTATAAACCCATTTAGTGCTCTGCACATATTACATGGTCTACAAATGTTGTTAAGACTATAGAAATCACCCTTCCAAAAAGTCATGAAGAGGATCTTGCCTTCCCTACATCCCCTTCTTTGAAAAAGACAAGGTGAAGGCAGTTTTTCTTTGATTCCCACAGTTTTGCAGAGGTTCCCATTTCAACTGCATCTGATAGGCTGGCAAGATTTAGTCATATTTCAGACTCAAATAAGAACTTAACAATCTTTCATAAGTAGTGTTTTCATCATTCCCACAAAAGTCCTCCCTCATTTTGATGTGAAAAGATTAAGAAAATGCTTCAAAGAAAAAGAATGAAATTCACCTCTGTGTTCTGCATGCAGACTCTTGGATAAGGACTTCCGGCACTAATAAGAATGTGTTCTCTACATGCCTCTACCTGTAACAACTTACTCTTCTTTGTTTTTTAACCACAGTTACTCACTGTTGTGAACTACCCATATACATCAAGGAGGGCTTCTAGAACTGATGTCACAGAAATTGAATCCGGTGAAGACACTTTCAATCTTAACATTCCAAGAAAACACTATTTTTTATTCTAAGGCAAAGGGAAGAATTCCTGACCCTAAACACAGTCAAGCGGGCCATTTCCCTTGTCCTTATCAGCAATGCATTTGTCAAGAAGCAGAAGTAGATGTTAGCATTTATGGCTGTACTGACAACTGTGAGATTTTGGTTTTTTGCAAGCATAAAGTCACAGCATGCACATTTATCAAACTTTTCTCTTGCCCATGTCTTCCCAACAAGCAAGCAACTTCCCAGCTGAGTTGGCTGCTGAAACGCCAAATTAACATGCAGTAAAGGCCAGACATTGTGGCTCACGCCTCTAATCCAACACTGTGGGAGGCTGAGTCAAGAGGATCACTTGAGACCAGGGATTTCAGACCAGCCTGGGCAACATAGCGAGACCTGGTGCCTACCAAAAATAAAATAATAATAAACATGCAGTAAAGCCCCAATTCTTCCATTTAGTTAAGGCAGGCTGATCCAAAGGGGTTTCACGTCCACTTCTCATTTTGTGGCTTATCCTTAGATGTTCTCAGTAGAGAGGTCACTTGGCAGTACACACAAGTTCATTACCTGCTTTCTACTGGTGGTTAAGGTCCTGACTTTTCTGTCCAGAATCTACAAATGTGATTTAAAAATGTATTAACGGTGAGACCACTCTAAGCACCTGCTATATGGCTATAATTTACAGAGAGTTTCATAAAACGGGTAAATGCTGATGCCCAAGAACCACAGACACGGCATACTAGACCAAATTAACTTAAATATGACCCCAAAACAAAAGTAGCCCAAGCTATATTCTTTCCCCAGCTAGGATCAGTATGGGGAGTCAGCACCCTCCTTGATGTCTTCAGGATCAAAGAGAGCAAAGAAAGGAATGAGTCCCTATTACGTGGAAGTATTGCAACAGGCACATTACACAGATATTCATTTAATGCTAAAGAACAATCTGCAAGATAGAGGAAACTGTTCCCAATTTATGGATGAAGGTTCAGAAAAAAGATGGTGACTTACAAAGGTCACTTTCAGGTTTCAACAAATCTTTTAGGTAAAAATTGTCTTTTTAATCTGTTTTCTTATTTAATTACCATATATCCATTACTTAAAAGTAAGAAAATGAAACCTGGCTTGATTAAAAAACCAAAACACACACATATCCAACAAAACTTGTCTTCTCTTGGGAAAAATAAACCTTGAACCTTGAAAATAATAACCTGTCTTATTTTCAAAGGTTAAGTTTGATAAATTTTCAATAAAACTAGCAGTTTTTTAAAGACATGCAAAACTATTAACAGCTCCCCTTGATTATATTTCATTTTTGACCATTTTCATATATGACATAATTATTTTCTACACCAAGCAACTTTTTTCTCCAAAAGCCAAACCTACTAAAAAGATAGGGACATTAAACCTGCATTACAATTAGCTATTGCCACACACACACACACACACACACACACACACACACAATTAAACTGAATTCCTTCCACTTCACAGGCCAGCCAAGAATCTGAATGCCTTTTATTTCTACTTTCTTTTCAAGTAACTAAAGAGATCTTAAATTGGTTATGTTTCCAATCCCAAATAAACCATTTTTGTTGATTTCCTAATCTCGGGTACTAGAAACATAAGTGCCGGCAACTGATGATTATGGCATTTTTATAAAGTAAATAAAATTTTACTTTATGAAAGAGTATCAAGTAACAGTAGGTTCTCCATATAGCCCCTAGAGCTTTACAAGTGATTAAAAATGGCATCAGCCCCCTGACGCTATGACTGCAAAAATGTAGCCTGATTGTTTACTCAGAGAATATGTTGCTAAACCAAAGAGCCCTCCCTGTCCATCCCGCGCCAAGAAGCAAATCTGCTTTCCCTGGCCACTAAAATAGATGCCACAGACAGGTAGCTCTCAGGAAAATTAAGACTAGCAGACAATTTTTCACTGACCTACACAGTACCTCAAAACACCCGAGCTGACATTAAAAGTCATATGTCTCAAAAAATAAAAAATAAAAAAACCACCTATATTTCAGTCTCCTTTAAAAGTCTGAAGACGTAACAACACTGGTCCTGTATTTCTGCATTAAGCTTCAATATCTACTTTCTCCCTCTTCCTCCAGGGACTTGATCTGTCCATTCCCCACTCTAATTTAGAACCTGCATCACCCACTTAAGGTTACCTGCGTGGCCCTTGAGGGCATCTGAATTTGCCATGCTTTTACTTCTAGCTACCAGGTGAAGCTGACCAATTGATTTTGATTCTGGAATGACTGTCCCTAGAAAAACAGTGAGTAAATAATACATTACACCATTTCCTAATTATTCCCTATTTAAACCCAATGCTGAACAGGCCTTCTTATATTCTCTAATGCTTGTATAGAGAAATTTGAACATATTCTTCACTTTTTATCCAATTTTTCCTTTTCTTCACATGTCAAATGCTAACATTTGGGCATTCTGCCTCATCATTTTGGAATAAGACAAGACCTTAAGGGCAAATTTCACTAAAACAGCTTCCAAAGTTTCCATGTAAGTCTCTTATTTATCCTGTCCAAATTTAAGACAAACATCTCTCATTTCAAGCGCACATTTCATAAAGGCTCTGTTTTTTCCTCACTCCACAGATTCTAATGCCTTTTACAACAGATGTGAGTGATACAGTACTGAGTGAATGGCTTCAAATTGGCCTCTTTTATATAAATCGAAGAAACAGCCAAAAGGCAGTGATATTCAAAGACCAACTATATAACTCTTCAAGATGTGCTTGAAGACTGCCCAAGAGGGGGACTACTGTGTCACTTTTGTTTCTGTTGTTTGAATCTGGAATTCTTATCAAGGTACCATGGTATCCTAGCCATGAGAGTCACCAGGGTTGCTCTCAGTTTCACACAAACCGATAGACTGTAAAATATAGTCAGTTTCACACAAACTGATAGACTGTAAAAAGGCATAATCAAGGCTTGTTTCCAAAAAAAAGCAGCACTAAATCAATCCAGCAATCTGCCGCAGGTCAGAAGTGGTTTCATGAAGTCAATACCATTATTGCTGGGCTAGAGCATCTTTTTCACCGCAGGGGGGGTGCATTATTATTCTTCTACCACTGCTTTGCAGTTACAGTAAGTTTCTCTGCTCAGTATACTATCAGACATTCTTTCTCAATTAATCTTGACAACAAGCTATGCAAACAGGCATGGCCAGTGGTGAAATATACCCCAAGAGGTATATTTGCTCCATGTCAGGTACAGAGCAGCAAATCAAATGTCTAGCTCCACAGTATCCATATCATCTGCTATGGAGTGAATGTTTTTGTCCCTCTTCCCCACCCCACAAATTCATATGGTGATCTCTAAATCTCCAATGTGATGGTATTTTGAGATGGGGCCTCTGGGAAATAATTAATTCATATGGGTAAAGCCCTTATGAATGGGATTAGTGCCCTTATAAAAGGATGAAGAAACCAGTGGTCTCTCTTTCCACCATGTGAGGAGACAATAAGGCAGCTATCTGCAAACCATGAAGCATACCTTCACCAGACACCAGATCTGCCAGTGCCTTGATGCTGGACTTCTACTCTCCAGGACTGTGAGAAATGTGTTGTTGAAGCCACCAAGTCTATGGTATTTTTGTTATTTCAGCCCAAACTAAGACATTGCCCAATCTAGATTCTTGGAACATATAAATATCGTGGACAGAGGGGTCTACTTGTCCACCAAAATTCCCACTTCCCCCTTCATACTATGAACTTATCACTGGAGAGGAGCTTTCCGCCAAGGACTACATTTACCAGGCCATTTCTATCAATTACTAGATGGGTTACTGAGACTATTTCTCACTACCAGAAACACTGGAGGAAGTGATATACGTCACTTCCAGGCAAAGGTGGCAAAATGGAGAGTTTTCATCCTCTCTTTTTCATAGGCCAGCTAGATTCAGAGGACTCCAAAGCCCCAGGGAATAGTAAGGCACAAAAAGAGAGAAATATGCAACCCACCTGCCAAGAACATCTATGCTGAGCTTTTAGGTCAGAGTCACAATAGGCCACTGAAATTTTGAGATGTGTTATAGTAGATACCATGTAGTTCCCAACTTTTACATTAGTATGTGTAGGTCAGGAGAGATGGCTCACATCTGTAATTCCAGCACCTTGGGAGGCTGAGGTCAGCGGATTGCTTGAGTTCAGGAGTTCAACCTGGGCAGCATAGTGAGACCCTCATTTCTACAAAATTGGAAAAAATAGCCAAGCATAGTAGTGTGCACCAGTAGTCCCAGCTAGTCAGCAGGCTTGAGCCTGGGAGGTGGAGGCTGCAGTGAGCCAAGATAGTGCCACTGCACTCCAGCCTGGGTGATAAAGCCAGACCCTGTCTCAAAAAAAAAAGAAAAATAAAAAAAGCAATGGGGTGAGGAAGTTGGAAAAGGCCTGAACTTATCAAGCACGGGATTGCAATACCGCGTGGTGTTTTGCATTTGAGGTATCTTCAGTGAATGAAATGGAGAAAAAAAAAAAACTAAGCACGTCTTTTAGTGGTATAAACAATGTTTTATGTATACATGCTATAGCACCATAGAGGAAACCTAAAATGAAGGGAACAATCTTTGGGGCTCTAACCAGCAGTCCAGGCTGGGTCAAGGTAGTATTGTGGTGGGGGCCACCTCGTAAAGTCTCTGCACCCTGACTTTTTTCTAGAAAGGGACAGTCAAGATCCTTCTAACTCCTATAAAATATCACACAATAAAACACCAGAATATTACAGCAATTCGCTGAGAACATAATTAGCAATTTGGTTTGTTAAACTATTTTTCTATTACTTCCTGAAAATTCAACTAGCTATATCTGTCAATCCCACCTTGAACAAAATTAAAATGCTAGAATCTCTATATTCAAGAGAGACGCTCTAGAGACCTTCTCATCTCTTTTTACCACTTTTACCAATACACCATCACTTGTGAGGGCTTTTTTTTTTTTCAGCCATTTATACTTGGTCTGAGGTTCTTCCTAATATCCTAATATCAGTGTACATCCCACTAACTATGTGGAAAGCCATCTCATAAGTAATGGTATGCAGGTATTTACCATACGTGAAGACAAATCTTAAGCATAAGTGACAGAAGAAAAAGATACCCAGGTATAATAACCAACATGGGATATCTAAATATAGTTAATTTTGCTGCATACAAATTATTTTCTGAATGATTTTTACATAATCTGTCCCATTTGCCCTTTAGATTTTTTGGAAAGACAGAGTTTTGCTATGTTGCCCACTCAGGTCTCAAACTCCTGGCCTCAAGTGACCCACCCACTTCAGCCTCCCAAAGTGCTGGGATTACAGCAGTGAGCCACCATGCCTGGCCTCATTTTCCCTTAAACAAGTGTGTGAAGAGAGCAAGGTGAGGGGTGTACATGTATGTACAGGTATCTGAGTCAAAAAATTTAGGCCATATGAGTCCAATGCCTCCAGAGAGAGATTAAATATAAGAATACCTTCTAGACTGTATCTCTGATCTCTCTGCTTGAGACTTTGACCAATGCTCCAAAGCTCCTTGGCCATAAACCATGCCATCTAGATGTTGAGTGCTAGAGCCTGCTGGACATTACTGAGCACATGTTTGTGGACTCTAGATGTGAAAAACAAACATTTGGGTACACTGCTCTGAGGGGCCATCCCAGGGATTAGTATCACATTAATGCTAATTCTGCAGCTGGCCCTGCCAAAGAATTCCCACCCAAGTCCTGGCCCTGGAACTCTGAATAAGTAGCTTAAGCTTCCGCAAAGTAGCATGAATAATTAAAGGAGCTAAGCCTACCTGCCTAATTAGAGCCAATAACAAACAAATCAGCTATCTAAAAACCAATTCTCAGCCCTCTGGGGCAAGCAGGAGTAGGCCAGTTAAAAAACTTACTGCTGTGTTCTGCAGGGGCCCTTCTGCATGGGGGGAAGACCCTGCCACCACAGCACCCTGCCTTACCATGGTGCCACCTAATCACTAATCACTTCACAGAAACTAAAATCAGGGGCCAGCTGGGATCCAGCTTATGTCCAAGCCAAGGAAGCACTCAAGTTTTTGTGTGCTGGATAAGATGCATGAGATCAAATGTCTAATTCTTAGACCTAGCTTGGTTCAAAAGGATTAAAACCTCAAATTCAGATTTAGCTGCAACTAGAAACATAAACCCCAAACACAGTTTTCAAAGGGCCACCAGGTCATATGCAATGCTAATGCCTTTATTCCTCCATACCCCCTGCCATTTGTAAATTTTACATGGGCCTGACCTAACGTGGAAATTCACCGTGCATACTTTCCTGCTGTAGCTGACAGTCTGCACAAAACTTGTCTCTCTGACTCCCTTCCCTGTTGCTCTAGGTCAGAGTGTATTTTGTAAATGGTTACTATGCTAATTACTAAGCAACTTTCAATAATTTGAAGAGTCCTTCTAAAAAAATTCAATGGAATAATTACAGTTAAATTTTCTACTACTCAGTTTTGCCCTACCCAGCCAACTTTCCCCTCATAAATGTCCTTCTGTTTCTACTCAAAATGGGCTTTCTCCTTGCATGACATTAATAGTACCAGTTTCCTCTATCACGTTAATAATAATTCGTTGTTTGGCCTTGCATTTGAGATTTTCAAAGCTACAGGAAAACAGGGCAGGACAAAGATTTTCTCCAGACTACATCAGACTGATTTTCCCCCACTGCTGTCTGCAGAGCCTTTTCTTTAGAAGGTTGGGGCCAATTATGGGGGAAGAACTAGAAGAAATCAGTAATAAGAAGAAAAGGAAATGTTGGCCTGCTTTATCCCTCAGCCTCTGATCACAGCTCATATTAGTAAATAGTCACAGCCAACCTAAGGTGGTGACAAGTTTTCCCCAAGGACCTCCAGGCCATTATTCTCACCCCATTTACTTTGTCCAGCTGTTCCTCTGTCATCTCTCACCCAAGCACTGTGTCCAGGGGCATGCAACTTTACATTCAGACCAACCCTGATGTCCACGGTAGACTACATTAAGAGTTGACTCACTAGGCAACAGAAAAGACTTCCCATTCTCAAGCTCACCCAGAGTCCAGTGGTGGGAAGAGAAGAGAAGTTGGGTTGATTTTCTATCCTCCAGAATAATGCCAACTTCCTTTGTCCACTTTTAAGTCTTCTGCTCTACAAACACATGGTAACCTAGATGACTTCTCCCCTAAAATGAGCTGCCACAAACAAGAGCACATCATTTCTGTAAGACAACCTACACTCTTGCATACTGTTATTTTGCAATAGTTGAAACGCAGTGAATTGTAAGTGCTAATAAAATTATTCTCATATTCTTTTTCTGATCCTCTGCTTGATGGCACACAGCAATTTCCCTTTCCTTCATTAGTTAGTTCCAGGGCCTCCTGTCCTTGAATAAAGATTTAAGAATGTGCTCTTGTGATATAAAATTAAGTGGCCTACCATTTATTCAGCGCCTATTAGGTCCTGGATCAGTTCTGGGAAATGACAGATAGATAAATACCTCCTCATTTAATGCTAACAGCTCCATGAGGTAAGCGCTGCTAGTATAGAGCAGAGGCAGAACTCAAGCCCGGGTCTGCCTGACTCCAAAGTCCATGTCAATGCCTGCCATGCAACCTGAAAACTTCTTTTGAAGCCAGCTCTCAGGAAATGAATCCTGGAGCTTCTCCTGTATTATCCTACGCTGCAAAGCCAGCTCTCAGGAGATGGATCCTGGAGCTTCTCCTGTATTATCCTACACTGCAGGACTATCAGGGAGTACCTCCAATGTTGTCTTACTCATCTTTAAAATTTGTTAGAGTCCCAAGAAAGGCTACAGTTTAATTAACGGCCCCCTATGCCAATTCAACCTCAGAAGGAACATCCAAAGACTTGAGTTTATTTATAACAACTGACAGAAGGTCTACTTGCAATGGCAGGGAAGTCTATCCTCAGAATAAATTTGCCTTTCTCCAGGCTAAAGGTCACACAAGGTACAAATTTAGAGCTTTGGACGGCCATCTGCTGATGCATCTGGAAACAAAGGGAGGAGACAGGAAAGGAACGGGAGGCAGCCAAATCCCCTCAGATGTCTCACTAGGGTGTGTGTGTGCATGCATGTGTGTTTCCTGGTGCATCTTTAGAACAATACTGTAAATTAGGATGGGTGTATCAGACCTTAAGAAAACTGGCATGATTCTTTCACAATGCTTCCGCTCTGCTTTGAATTATTGCAAAATCAGAGAATGATTGAATCATGATGTCAAGCTTTCACATGCTCAATCCACACAGGCAATGCCAGAATGGGAGCAAAGTGGAAATGAAGACAGAATCATCTGAGACTGTTAAAAAAAAAAAGAAATGCAACCAACCACCAGTCCCCTATTTATGAGGAGAAAACACATATTCAGCCTGTGGGCCCATTTTTCTTTTACATAGATATTAGCCAAATACTGAAAACAATCACATAAACCACATTTCATAAAATTGTATGTGTATATACACATACACACAGATAACAGAGAGAGGAATAAAATATTTTCTCAAAAATCTTCAGAATCCTTCTCAAGATTTAAATTTTCAAATCTTTTTTTTTTTTTTTTTTTTAAAGATAGGGTTTCACTCTGTTGCCCAGACCAGGAGTGCAGTGGTGTGATCACAGCTCACTGCAGCCTTGACCTCTCTGGCTCAAGCAATTGTCCCAGCTCAGCCTCCCAAGAAGCTGGGACTACACGCATGTGCCACCATGTCTGTCTATTTTTTATTTTTTGTAGAGATGAGGTCTCCCTATGTTGCCCGGGCTGGTCTCCAACTCCTGGACTCAAGCAATCTTCCTGCCTCAGCCTCCCAAAGTGCTGGGATTACAGGCATGAGCCTCACACTGGGCTCAGATTTCATCTTTAAAACAGACACGCGGCACATTAATTTCTTCTATTTGGTCAAGGTACTCCAAGTTTTATGTAACAACACAAATTAGGGCACTTTAACATAAAAATGATATATTTGATGTTTTAGTGACTGCAATACAAAATCACAATGGTTTCAAAAACATGTTGCTATTTTTTCAGCAGCTAGAATGAAATGTGTTTCATCTCATAATGTGATCCATAAAGAAGTTAATCTTTTTCCATTTGCTGAAAAGCTGAGCCTTTTGGATTAACCATGTACATGCAACCAGTTGGTAAACAAAACACATTTTAAACTTTTGGTTACTAAGACATTGATAAATAATCCCAGATTAACTCAATTTCTCTGAAGTCTAATTTTCAAAGTTTTCACACCATTATCATAATTGAGCCTTATAATAAGCCTATGAGGGTAGGGATTATTTTCTCCATTTTTGGAGGAAGCAACAGAGAATTAATATTCAAGGAAGATGATTTAAAGCAGTGTTTCCTAAAGATAGTCTCTTTTTTCCTTTGTGTGAGAAAGAAAGTAACAATTGGCCTTAAAAAGAACCATTATTCTCAAGATCCCTGCAGAAAACAGCGAACAAAAAGTCAGCTGAGCATTTGGCCCCAAAAGTCATTCTGCCCCTTGTAAAGCAAAACACAATCATTCAAAACAGATGCAAGGCAATCTTGGAATTACATTTTTTAATGGTCCACTTTTAAACATCAATCAGCAAAAATAAAAAGGGGGGAGGGGAGGGCATAATTCCAGAATTTGCTGAAATAAACATATATATATATATATTTTCGAGACCAAGTCTCACTCTGTCACCCAGGCTGGAGTGCAGTGGCATGATCTTGGCTCACTGCAACCTCCACCTCCCGAGTTCAAGCAATTCTCGTGCCTCAGCCTCCCCAGTATCTGGGACTACAGGCACGTGCCACCATGCCCCGCTAATTTTTTGTATTTCAGTAGAGACGAGGTTTCACCATGTTGCCCAGAGTGGTCTCGAACTCCTGAGCTCAGGCAATCCGCCCACCTCGGCCTCCCAAAATGCTAGGATTACAGGCGTGAGCCACCGTGCATGGCCTGAAATAAATCTTTAATCAACCTTTAAAGAAAGAGATGAATGGAAGTGAAAGTAGGTATATAAACATTAACTTGCATTACAATGTTCACGTCTTCAACGTACCCCATAGGCCTGGGCTCTAAGGCATGCAGAAGGCCATTAGAAAATGATATTTCACTCATCTCCAATTAAATGAGTTAACACACCTTCAGCACAATGTTCATTTTGCCTATAACAGAACATTAATAAAGAGAAGAGAAAAGGTGAGTGTGCACACAAGGGCACGTTGGCAACCCACTGCTGTCTGTCAAGGAAGAGACAAAGGATAGCCTGGTCGCAAGTTCTAAAATGGACTAACGTGAGAACTCATTTCCAAAACTCAAGCACAGTACAGTCTCTTGACTTCCACATAGAAAATGAAAACCACTTTATTTTGCAAGTGAAGGGATAATTAGTCATAATTTGATAAAACCAGTATTATAAAAATTTCAATATAACCAACTGCTCAAAGCACACATCTGCTGCCACTGCTTTTTTTGTTTGTTGGTTTGTTTTTTGTTTTTAAGTTCAGGGGTACATGTGCAGGATGTGCAGGTTTGTTACGTAAGTAAACGACGTATGCCATGGTGGTTTGCTGCACCTATCAACCCATCACCTATGCCACATCTTTTAAAAATCCAAGATAGATGTGTAAATGCAATATATGCACAGAATTGTTGAGCTGAATAAGCAAGATGTCAGATTATTTATCCCAGCACCTTCATATTACAGAGAAGAAAACTACAGCACAGAAATTTCGACTGCTTAGTGTAACGTTCATGGCTCCCAGGCACAAAAGCAGGTCTTAGATCCCCATCATACTGTGTCAATTCAGACATATCTGAGAGCATCAATTTCTAAAAACTTAGAAATTAAAAAAGAAAGAGCATTTCCCCAAAATTGAAGACAAATTGAAGATAGATGCCACAGAAGTCTTAGAAGGGAAAAGAAAACAAAAAAAAAAAGACAAAAGAAGTGGGCTATCTAAGGGATCTGTCAGTAAATACCAACCACATTAATTCGGCAACAGTTCTTTACTGCAAGTCAGCAATAGCTGGCACATTGAAATACTAAGCTTTTAGCCTTTCTCTCTTTAAATTTCAGTAAAACCTCTATCGCTGAAATGGTGCTGAAAAGAAAAATGAATCGCTAGAGGCAGGAAGTTATTTCCAGTTCATGCTCCACTTCCCACAGCTAGACCCTTCACTAGGCTCTAGAAAAGGATCAAGAGTTTACACACAATGTAAGGCAGGGGCACCGGCCTAGAAAGGGACAGCTCTGCATGGACACATTTGGTCGGACACTGCGTGCTGTCTTCAGCTTTAACCATTTTCTTTCTTTTTTTTTTTTTTTTTTTGTTCCTCTAAGGCTTTTTTAAATTTCCAACTTCTATTTTAAGTTCAGGGGTACATGTGCAGGATGTGCAGGTTTGTTACGTAGGTAAACACGGTGATTTGCTGCACAGATCATCCCATCACCCAGGTATTAAGCCCAGCATCCATTAGCTATTCTTCCTGATGCTCTCCCTCCTCCCACCTGCCTCCTCCCTCCTCACACACAACAGGCCCCAGTGTGTGTTGCTCCCCACCATGCTCCCATGTGTTCTCATCATTTAGCTCCCACTTGTAAGTGAGAACATGCAAGCTTTAACTATTTTCATGCAGCAGTGTTAGATGAATCTCTAGACAGACCAGAAAAATGGCATCAGACATTAGACTAGACCTTGAGGTATATGACATATTATAACTAGAAACACTTTCTACCCCACCACTCGAACTATCTCTATCCAAAGTCACTAATGACTTATGACCAATAGCCACATCACAGAATTATAGAACACAATTAGTCAAAACACAGGGTTTGCTATAAATTCTTATTTCAAAATACTAGAAACTTCTCAACCTCCCTAGATATTCTATAGGGGTCTTTACAAAAAGAATAAAATGGTATCATTTCAGGAAGGTTTTTAAAAGAGAGTCCTTAAAAAGTTGGCTATCTACCATATATTTGATGCAGCAAAAGGAAAAAGGCTCTTAAATTATGCAATAAGCTAACCTAGAAGACATCAAGAAACTAAATGGAAAATATATTTACAAATGAGAAGAAAAATACTGCAGGCAACACAAAGAGCAATAACCCATATTTCTATGGCATTTTAAACTTTACATTAAACTATAATGGCTTACTACAGCTGCCCCTTTGTTTCCATGATAAATCTGTACATAAAATAATTGTAAATTGTGGTTTGCTTGCTTTTTGTCCCTCACTGCCATTAAACCACAGACATCTAGAAAAGAAGAAAGCACGGTTCTGATTTGCTTTTGTTTTGCAGGATAGAGCAAGAAGCCTTGCACACAGAAGTCACTTAAAACATTTTTGGAATGAATATGTTACCAATCAGCAAATATTTTTCAAGTTTGATAAAATGCAAAGTTGGCAAGAATGGGTTGAGACAGGTACTCTCATACACCACTGGTAATTTAAATAGGTGTTGCCTTTTACAAAGGGGGAATGTGGCAATTTGGCAGTGTGACAATATCCTTTAAAGACAATGGCAAAGTTTCCATTATATACTGTTAATTGAAAAAGGCAAGGTATAGCACAGTACACTGAATGTAATCCTATGTTGTATTGTTTTAAAGGTAGAGTATACTCTGCATATAGGGTGACCACGTGTGGCCAAGGGTATGTGCACTGCACAAACCCAGGGGGAGTCATTCCTACTATAATCTAAATACAATCCATATATCTAATCCCAGGGGCCCTGCTTGACTGCATACACGATTCTGGAAGGATTTATAAGAAGCTTCATAGAGGTTATCTCAAACGTTAATACTGGGGGATAGAATTTACATGAAGAGGAGGAAGTCTTGTCTTCCCATGTTCTACCCTTTTGAAATGTTTTCATTTCACATATTACCTTGAAAGTTTTAGTCTCATTTTTAAGAGAGATGTTATGTTGAAAAAAAAAGACAATAATGGAAATTAAAACAACAAAAAATGATTTCATTTTATTTATTTATTTTTTAAGAAGGAGTCTCACTCTATCGCCTAGGCTGGAGTGCAGTGGCATGATCTCAACTCACTGCAACCTGTCTCCAGGGTTCAAGCGATTCTCCTGCCTCAGCCTCTCGAGTAGCTGCGACTACAGGAGCACAACACTATGCCTGGCTAATTTTTTTATTTTTAGTAGAGACTGGGTTTCACCATGTTGGCCAGGCTGGTCTCGAACTCCTGACCTCAAGTGATCCACCCATCTCAGCCTCCCAAAGTGCTGGTATTGCAGGTGTGAGCCACCACACCCAGCCAAACAATGATTTTAAAGCATTAACTTCTCCTGCTTTTAAACTTCCCATCTGGTTTCCCTCTTTCCTGTAAGTTATCTTTTAGGACTCAGGGGTTACTAGCACTGATTTTCATTTTATGCTAGTTTGGGACCTAATCAGAATGATTTCCTGCTCCTAACCGTTCCAACATCAGAGTAGGAGAAACAAACCAGGTTGATACAATCCTCTCCTACGAGGAGTTGGAAGAGGATTTTGTAAAACAAAAACACTGACTCGCTATTACATGCCATGTGAGCCATGAGGTAGAGACCAACGGGCATGGCAGGAAGAGTATGGGCCACAAATGCTTGATTTTTTATGTATTTCTTTAGATGGATGAGTTGTGCTTAAAATTTACTTTTCTTACAAATACCTGTTAGGCTTCTTAGAGACCACTGCCTAATGCAAACAGGTGATAAGGCTAAACTTTAAATATATTTCCTTATGGTAATTCAAGTTGACAATAGGAATAGGCTATAAACAGCTTTTCTAAATACCAAGTACTGCATATATGCAAAACAGATTGTTGTTTTATATGCTTCTGTGTTTCTCAAAAAAAAAAAAATCTCAGTATCAGCTGCCCATCAGAATCATCTGGGGAGCTTTGAAAAAACATCAGTATCTGGGCCCCACCTCTGACTAATGAAGTCGAACCACTGTGTCTGCACTGATGATCAAAAGAAAGCATTTCACATCAAGTCTGAGTACGTATTCATCTTGTGACGTGACAAAGTGAGATGAATTTTCAAGAACTATACATACAAACAATGCTTGAGGCACTGAAAGTGCACTGCCACATGGCTCCTGCCTTTGGAACAAAACTCTAAGCAAGTGATAAAACATACTAAGGGCTATGGCAACCACAACCGAGGGGCCATTGTCTTATATCTCTACCGGCTGCTTGTCTAGGCTGCTACCAGTGCTTAAAAGGTCTTCTAAATACACAAGTACCCTGTCTGACTTACTCCTAATAACAGCTGTTATTCCTACAGCTATTCTGGAGAGCATTTCAGCCACAGACACACAAAAATAAATAGCCAATGACACACAGCTCAAGGTCCATTGTGGCCTAAAGAACCCTGAGCTTCTCTTCCTCACTCCCTTTCTCCCTGTCACCCATCTCCATTTACTCAGATGCCATAACACTTAAATATTTTTATATAACACAATGAGGTAGATGTTAAAACTTCTTCATCATCCTGGAAATGATTTATCCCTACCATAAATCTATCACAACGTATACCCAAAGGCTAACAGAGGAGATATTCAACCTACCAGGTCAGAGAATCCTCCACAGAAAATTGCTAAAAGGTCCTGCAACCCTCTCTGTGTATTCTGGCCAAAGTTAATACAGTTTGTTTCCTGAAGTGCTCATACCAGAGAGATGGGATGGGGGAAGTCGTTTGGAAACCGCCAAGAACTATTGATTAGAAACACATGGGAAACCACAAAGGCATTACACCTTGACTTCAATTAACCAAAGGAGGGTTCATATCTCTTTCCAATGTTATAGACAAGACATACTTAAAGCTCCGCTCAAGATGTGTTTGGGGCATGTTTCACAATAAAAATACCTGGTATAAACACGACTGTAGAACTTTAAGTGGTTCTGGCATATTAAGATATATGGCTGTTTTGTTAAAATACTTTTTTGATCATTAAAAAGCAGTATAATTAGAACAAGTATTAGAAGGACTACCAATCATTTATTTTTATTTTTGGTTTTTGTTTGAAAATTAAGCCAAAGATATTTAAGAACAGAATTGTCAGAAAAAGATTATGTAATAAACAAGTTTCTATAACTGCCATGTACAGAGATTTTACTAACATTTTTATCACACTGAACTGAGAATTCTGAAGTCCAATTTAGGATTAATCACCAGGACAGAATGGAGGGAAATTATAAGACCACTTGGCAGTTACTCCATCTCAAATAACTCTGTCTCCAATTCCTTTACTGAAATAGCACATAGCACTCTTACCTAGAAAGATCTCATAGACCCGTCTATAGCTTTATAATAAGGCCCATATTGGATTTTCAGGATGCGAAAGCACCAGAAAATTAACCCAGAAAACTGGACTGCTCCTTTCATCTAACTCTTTACAGGGGTTTGGAAAACTGACTTGACCATTCTTAGGTTTCAATGCCTACTTATGTAAAATAAGCAGGTTGATTTTGAAGGTTTGCTAAAGTTCCTTTCAGCTCCAAAAATTTCTTCCAGTTTACAACTAGAACAAAAATGATACATGAAGAGTTAAAAGTGAATTAACAACACAAACTCAGCGCCCTTGTATCAATGCCATCACTTGATCAAAATGTTCCTATGGGCAACTAATGTGTTATACCAGACATAGTGTTTCAAGCTTTGGCTTTTCCAATTTTTAATATATTCTAACAGTTTTGACAGAATACCCTGCATTCCACATACTCACTTTGATTCCCTCTTGAGCATCTTCTTGTGACCTTTGATAAGTTAAAAGGGTCTTGAACTGGATGAAAGTCTGCCAGAAGCAAATGGAGGGGCATAACTTGGTAGAATAAAAAGATGGTAGGCCCGGGCTAGGAGTGGTGGCTTATGCCTGTAATCCCAGCACTTTGGGAGGCCGAGATGGGCGAATCACAAGGTCAGGAGTTCGAGACCAGCCTGGCCAACATGGTGAAGCCCTGTCTCTGTTAAAAATATAAAAATTAGCCGCGCATGGTGGCGCACGCCTGTAATCCCAGCTATTCGGGAGGCTGAGGCAGGAGAATCACTTGAACCCAGGAGGTGGAGGTTGCAGTGAGCCAAGATCATGCCACTGCACTGCAGCCTGGGTGACAGAATGAGACTACATCTCAAAAAAAAAAAAAAGATGGTAGGCCCAAAAAACACAAGCAGCAAATCAATCAATTAATAAATCCCAAGTACATTACACATTAAGTATGAAGAGTCAAATTTTCCTCCCACCAAAACGCGCTAATCCGTTATATTTACTAAATACAAAGGTGGACAGACACCCAGCCCGGGTTCCTTCATGTGTACCACCGAATACTTCCACAAGGTTTTTGTGCCCTAAGGACAGGGGAATGCTAAACAAAAACTAGAGTGGTCATTTTCCCTTTGAGGCCGAGAGGGAATTACTATCATGGTTGCTATCTTCCAAATTCAGAGAAAGGTAATTTTTAGTGAACAGCTGAACTTAATGACTATACCAGCCTCATGAGCTTCCCTCCCCAGAATCCTAGCACACTAGGAGATCAAAAGGCCTTCCCCCTAAACAAAGAAAAGGTCCCAGGCTTCAAAATAGGCAAGGTTAATGGGCAGACCCACCAACTATAATACAACCATTTGCAAAAGAAGAGGAAGGAGGTGGGCTAAGGATATGGGGCAATGGGCCCAGTTCCTCCCACAGATCATTCCAGACCAGGCTTTTCAGACCTTCACCAAGGACCTTTTGACCAGAACACAGACACCCCCAACCCCCAACTCCCTCAGGTAAGGGACCTCAAAAGCACATCACTCTAGCTCTCTGAGGTCCAATATAGAAAGCAAAAGTCCATCAAAGCATGTTTTGCTCCCTATGATACCAAGGCAAAGAAGAGGAGGGTAAATGGACAGAGGAATCCTAGATTACTGACAAATGCCATGCAGACCACCAGGATGGATTTATCGGATCTTATTTTATTCTGTACTAAGGCATCTGAGACCCAGGGCTATCTGAAGCTCTGGCTGTTTCCTAGAAGGTACTGGCTTTTACTCTTCCTGATGCCTTCCATCCATCTAGTTAGCTACTGCTTCCCCCATTCTTTCTGGTCTCATCAGGTGCTTTAGAGTGCTTAGAATAACACGTTTTGATTCCCAACTCCATCATTACCAGCTCTGTGACACTGGCCAATCTATTTACCTTTTCTATGCTTCTGTTTCTCTATCTGTAAAATACAAATATTAAGAGTACCTTTCTCAAAGTGTGTCAAGAGGAATCAACGAATTCAATGAGTTAATCTTCACAAAGCACTTAGAACAGTGCCTGACATATGGTGAGTGCTATATTGTTTGATTAAAATTAAATAATATAACTGGATTGTTTTTAACACAAAAAATAAATGCTTCAGGGAAGATATCCCATTTTACATTATGTGATTATTACACATTCCATGCCTGTACCAAAACATCTCATGTACCCCATAAATATATATGCCTACTATGTACCCACAAAAATTAAAATAAAAAAATTTTACTTAAATAATTTTCAAAGATGATTTCTTCTTCTTCATAGCCAGCTAGAGAACCTAATAGCACATCAGAGAAGGGTACCTTAAAAGAGCAGTTTAAAACTGACACAACTGTTGCAAAGTTTCTTTTGGGGCAATGGAAGTATTTCCAAATTAGATTGTGGCAATGGTGGCACCACTCTGTAAATCTACTAAAAATCATTCAAGGCCGGTTGCGGTGGCTCACGCCTGTAATCCCAGTACTTTAGGAGCCTAGGCGGGTGAATTCCTTGAGCTCAGGAGTTCAAGACCAGCCTGGGAAACATGGCAAAATCAAGTCTCTACAAAAAATACAAAAATTAGCCGGGCGTGATGGTGCATGCCTGTAGTCCCAGCTCCTGGGGAGGCTGAGATAGGAGGATGGCTTGAGGTGAGCCCGGAGGCAGAAGATGCAGTGAGCCAAGATGGTGTCATTACACTTCAGCTTGGGTGACAGTGCAAGACCCTGTCTCCCAAGGAAAACTCCCCCACAAAAAAATCATTTCGGTCTATACTTTAAAATGAGTGAATTTTATGGCATTTAAAGTATACCTCAATAAAGCCATTAACAAAAAAAGAATGAGACAACCATTTATCCAATGAATCAACTATTAAGTCACAAAATCCAGGATGCCAATCTATTCCTGGTCCCCCTTCAGGCAACAGCATGACAATGATGATCACGGGGCATCATGAACATATGTGATCTCTTCACATTGGGCATCCGTGACTTAAAGAATGGGCAAAACACAGAACGAGGGAATCCCTAGGAGGCTTTCAGCTTCTGGGAAGAATGTTTCACATACCCACAAAACAATTTAAGCCCTTTGTAACTAAGAAAACATGCCTCAACAGGCAAGTACTTTCCCTGAACTTCTTAAGCCTATTCCCCTAAACATGGGAGGCAGCAGGTTTGACCTAAAGAGCTCAGGCCCTGTCAGATTTACAAAGGTGATTAGATGATTTCAAATTCAGCCTGCATGGCCTAAAACAGTTTATTTTGACCTATCCACACCGGTTTCCTCATCAATAAACCTACCTAGCTTGAAGGCATTACTTAGGATTGGAGATAATAAACGTAAAATACCTAATGTTTGACACAGGGTAGGCATCAAACACAGTAGTGCAGTAATAGCAATTACTTCATAGTTAAATATAAACATAATAAAATGCACAGTGAGAGATCATCATGCAAAATAAGGGAACCAAACCTTTTCTCTACACTTACGCAATTTCTATAACATCACTCCCTGGTCATATCTCTCTGAGTGCACATGACTCAGTACAAAGGAAATGAGCTCCCGGGTAGCCAGTAATCAGTAACAGGAAAGGCACTGCTGCCAACAGAATTGAATCATCTCACATTTCTCGAAGTTCCTAGGTGAATTCAGTGTCCTCTGAGAAGGCTTTGGAGAAAGCCACATGAGGAGGATTTTGGGAGGCAGAATATACAACTCTCTACTCTTAGTCATGTCTGTGCATTTCACATAGTAAGTAGCCACTCCTATATTTCCCCCTTTGCAGAGCCTGTGGATGGAGATTTACATCTCACAATTGCACTTGAGTTTCCCCAGAGAGGTTAGCACTGATTTGTTGTCCCAACACGGTTGCATGTTATTAATTGTCCAGAAACAGAATGATATGGCAATGGTGCTTAGGTTGTACCTGTAACCCTAACACTGCTGCAAATATAGTAGGATAATTAATTTGTGGTTGGTTCAAATACCTCACATTACCGGCTTTGGGATAAAACAAATTACTGCCCACAGTAAGCCATGAATTTATTTTTCAAAGACTTGAAGTCATTCATTCCACTGACTTCCTCAGAGCCAAAGATACTGACAGAAGTGTTGTACCCACTGACAAGAAAATGCCTAAAGGGGAAATGAGTTGTTAGGGTGGCGGGGCTGGGCAGGGCGTTGTTTCATTTCAGTTTTACCATTTTACCTACTAATAACAATGCTTACACAGTATTATGTGTTTCCAAAATGTCCCCACATACAAGATGCGTTGGACGGTACCCTACAATCCTTGCAGAAAGGCAAGCAACCAACGCCAGACATCTCAGGCGAATAACAGGCAAATCTGAGTCCGAAACCCAGTTCTTCCTACTCCTAGTCTTTCCTGTGCTCAATTTCATGATGCTTCTACAACTGGGATTCAGAGTGGAACTCAGTCAAGGTTTTTCCACCAGTAGGTTTGTAATAACTTACAAAGGTACCGTCACAGAAGGCACCCCCTGCAACCTCATAGTGGAGGATAAAGTCCCTCAGGTCCATTCAAATCACTTTTCTCTTTGCTTTAGTCTGCAGATCTCCACATTAATCAGTTGGGATGACCTGGGAGGCAGCTCAGTGCTGCATCTATCTGGCAATTTTTGGAATGAGATGTCGCTGGTCAGCTCCTTCCTGAAACAGAGATGAGCTCACCATTGATACCCAATGCCCCAGTGCTGAGTACCATCCTTGTCACTTCTGCCTTGTAAGATAAGCAACAATTCTCGGAGAAAGACCTTATTAAAGCCAGTACTTTCAGATCATACTCAGAAACCGATGCTTCTTTCCAAAAACTTCAGGTTCAAAAAGCAGTTACTAGGAAAGGGGTGTGACTTTTTTTCCTACTGGCATTTTAAGTAATATTCAGCTTGTACTCTTAAAAATCACGTTTACAAATGAAACTCTACAGAAAACACTTTTTAACTCAGTTCTACCAACAGTTCCATTTGGCTTACAGGCATTCTCTGTATATTCTGAAAGTTTCTATAATTTGTGGTGACCAAATTCGTCTTTTCACAAGGCATTCATTTCTGTGTCACTACTCTCTTTTAAATACTCTGGTGTTTACTAACCATACCCTGTAATCTCTGTTAATGGGGTAGTTCAAGATTCCTTTTCAAAGGCTTTTTGCTTTAATTACTGCTTTAGCCTTTTGGTAAAACTCGGCTTTTAGCAAACTGGCCTGCAGGGGACAAGTTTTTAAATTATTCTCAAGCTTTCCCTATCCCTTTCCAAGTTTTTCCAAACTACTTAAAAACCTCTCAGCCTTGAGGGAAGGATGATAAATTGGATGATTTTGCTGTCTCTGATGCCTGGCATTAGTCTTGGTTTAATCCATTTTTGTCTCACCAGAAACTTGCCTGTTACAATCGGAGTCTCTCCCATATTCTGCAGCTTCCAGCAAGTGTATTCCCTGATAAAGCTCCCCCAGAGTTCCAAAACAGGTCACAGGGAGCCCAACAGTCCTCCTGGGGTGGTCTCAGGGGCGCCTAGACACAGTTTTGCCCTGTGTTTCTCCTTTCTGTAGTGAAGCCCACATTTGGATTCTTGGTTCAAATGCTTTTCTTCAGAAAACTGGTAACTTCAGGATGGATCCCAGAAAAAAGCTATTAAAATTAGTCATTTTAGATCTCAAAAATAAATTAATTTACTCCTCCTGAGGCTTGGTACCCTTTGACCATCACGTTACCATTTCCCCCAGCCCCTGGTAACCACTCATCTACTTTCTGCCTCTATGAATTCGATTGTTTTGATCCCACATATGTAAGAACATGTGGTGTCTTTCTGTGTTTCGCTTACTTCACTTAGCATGTTTTCTAATTCCACTCATGTTGTCGCAAATGACAGAATTTCTTCCTTTTTTGAGGGCTATTCCACAGCATGGTAAATACAATAATAGCATACTGTACATTTCGATATCACTAGGAGAAAATCTCAAATGTTATAAAAAAGTTAAATATTTGAGGTGAATAGGTTAGGTAGCTTGATTTAATCATTCCACATTGAGTTCAAACATCATTACATCACTTTGTACCCCCTTAAGTATTTGCAACTATAATTTGTCCATATATAATAAAAAACAAAAAAAGTCCTTTGAAAGGCAAAAAGAGAACATGACAAAATATTAACTGATCAAGGATGAAAAATAAGTACACTCTGTTTAAACATAGTTTTAAAAAACCTATGCATAAGTACAAATCAAAACCACAATGAGATGCTGTTTCATACCCATCAGAATGACTATTATTAAAAAAAAAAAAAAAGGAAAAGACACATATCCTTTGCAAGCATATAAGGATATGGAGGGCTCGGAACCCTCGTGCATTGCTAGGGTGCAGCAGACACCGTGGAAACAGTATGATGCTTCCTCACAAAGCTAAACATAGAATTACCATATGATTCAGCAACTCCACTTCCAGTTACATACTCAAAAGTACTGAAAGCAGAAACTTAAACAGATACTTGTAACCAATGTTCATAGTAGCATTATGTAGAATAACCTAAAGGTAGAAACAACTCATATGTCCATCAATAGATGCATAGATAAACAAAATGAGGTTTCTATCCATGCAATGGAGTATTACTGTTCAGCCTTAAAAAAGAATGAAATTCTGACAAATGCTACAACAAGAATGAACCTTACCAACATTATACTAAGTGAAATCAACCAGACACAAAAGGACACAACTTCCCTGATTCCACTTATGAGTTACATTGAATAGGCATATTCATGGGGACTGAGAAGGAGAACAGTGGTTACCAGGGGAAGGGGTGGGGGGAATGAAGAGTTACTGTTTAATGGGTAGAGAGTTTCAGTTTGGGAACATGAAAAGTTCTGGACACAGACGGTGAAGATCATTGCACCACCAACAATACAAATGTACTTAATGCCACTGAACCGTATGCTTAAAAATGGCAAGGATGGTAAATTTTATCTTAACGTTTTACCACAGCAAAAAATAAAAATTAAAAACGTGGCCAAAAAATGAAATGAAAAAGAAAATCACCATGTAAATGCAATGGACTAAGGGGTAATTTTTCTATGTTTCAATTCTTCCAAAAGAGCTGCTATAATTTTTAAAAATTAATGCATTTGCTGGGTGCAGTGGCTTATGCCTGTAATCCTAGCAGTTTGGGAGTCTAAGGCAGGCAGATTATCTGAGCTCAGGAGTTCGAGACCACCCTGGGCAACATGGTGAAACCCCATCTCTACTAAAATACAAAAAATTAGCCAGGCATGGTGGCAAGCACCTGTAGTCCCACCTACTCGGGAGGCTGAGGCATGAGAATTGCTTAAACCCAGAAGGCAGAGGTTCAATCAGCGAGATCAGTGAGCCGAGATCATGACACTGCACTCCAGCCTGGGCAAACAGAGCAAGACTCTGTCTCAAAAGAAAAAATAATAATAATAAAAATAATGCATTTACTCACACACTCACTGGTGCACAAATAAATAGGCAGGGCAGGTCAAAAATAACAGTCTGGGTTCAGTGGGAAATTTAGCTCTAACAATATGAGGCACAGAGGAGGTGAGTTACATGTCAGAGGAGCAGGCAGCAACCGTAGATGGAAGCAGAGCAAAAGGGGATATACATCAGGTGCCAGCATGTTTTCTTCCTTCTGATCTTTTGCCTCGAAAGCCAGCCTTTCAGCCTAAGCCTCAAGGCCCTGATCACCTTGGGTGATGTGCACAGATCACAGGAACACCTCAATGTAAGCAAATCCAACCTTGCAATGCCCTAGACTATTTCCTGATCCCCGCTTGGTCCCACTGTCAGCACAGCACAACAACCAACAAGGCTGTTAACCTGCCCCAAGAGTCTTACAAATCAGCAGATTCAGCTGACAGAAAGCCAAGGAATTTTCTCTCCACATCGATGTCATTCAATGAAGACTTCTGCTTAAACCAGAACCGTGAAGTTTTGTATCCGGAGACTTCAAGCACAAGTTCAACACCAACCTCCAACAGACACCTCTCAATCACTGGCCCTAAAGGAGCAGAAGGGCATCCATTCACAGATCAATGTGTGTATTTTCTAATTAGCTTAAGGAACTTTGCACATGTCAGATTTGAACGTCTATGCTACCTTATGGTTTGTTCAGGTAATTTCGTGTTCCCTAATGAGACTAGGATAAGTAATCGTGTAGAAGTTAATACAGAATTGTAATTCACTACAGATACCCACAGAGGACAACCTATGCCTGTATTGTTAAGGTTTGACTATCCAGATCTACAAATTCAAGTTGAAACTTATTTCAGCCCTCCTTGGAACAGTCCACTAATCTAGAAAACACTGGGACTATTCTTCCCGAGCAGTGAAACATCCACACAGGTTAGTAACTACAGGCTGCTCTAATTAATTACCTGAGACACAATTGGTGGATGTTAGAGTTTGTTATGTTGTTGTATTTTTAATTCCATTTGCCTACTTGATCCACATTTTCATGCCTTGGCTGTGACACTTTAGAAATTAAAACATCCCAATAGTGTATAATTAAAAGTTAAATATAGCAGCTACAATCTAATTTCATTGAAAGTCTCCTCCAAATCACAGAAGTGCCACTGGCCTGGCCTGGCTAGAAGTCAGCATGGACAACTCTAGATTCAGGCACTTTCAACTGTGATGCATTTGTAAAAGCTGCAGCTGGGCAATGGAAAGAAGTAACATATTTGATTCTAGCTTTGGTCTTTTACTTCAAATGTTAGAGAAACTGAGATGTTATGGAAGCTTTGCCAACCATCTAAGCAGCCCTCTCCAGTGGGGGATAAACTCTGGTGCAGTTTCTTATAGAAATTAGAAAGTCAGTTCATTCTTCATAAAAGCTGAAGACAAAAAATAAATGAGTCAGTAGTTACTATTAGTTACTAGTTTTGCTTTGATAAAAGAAGTGAACACCACTTCCCAAGTCAATTCCAGAAATGTGGTAAGTACACCACACTCCCTGCCCTGTCTCTGGAGGTATCTTTGTATCCTCTTTCACCAGCAACCTCCAGCTCTCATAGGCATCCTGGTAAGATGAGAAGACTTCTGCCTCTTCCCTTATGGTTACCGAAGAAAGTTTCAATAGTACCTCTGGAAAATGAGCCGTATGTCCATAACACTATCCCTCTACTCACCAGTCTCTCTAGAAGTAGTTTTGCAATCCTGAAAAGCCCTCCTCCATCCATGCTTGGCAGATGCTCCAATAAGTGGGGTTTTTCCAAAACTCAGTGAGGCCAACACTGAACATCCATTTCCTGCATGCCAAACTTCACATGAGCTGGCAGCCCTAGGAAGGGGCATCTGAATTCAGCTCTTGCACTTATCTGGATAAAGACGGCTGCCATTGTTGCCCTGGTGACCACATTCACTTTGGCAGAAGCAGCTATGGTAAATATTTCTTCAGAGAATCAATTCACATCAACCATGTCCCTTTGGTGAAGAAACTACTTGCTAATTTATCTTGGGAAAACTTTTCTCTGAAAGTTTACAATGTTTAAAGGCGGCACTATCTCTCCTCTGACTTCTATGGCATAGCATGGAGCCCACAACTGGCTTATTTGGAACAAACTTAATATCCTAGGAGTAGATACCAACTATAGCATAGTTCAGAGGGGGGAAAAAATTCTCTTGAACTCAATATTAGTATTACCCACCTCAAAAATAGACCAGTGTGTCAGCAAGCTCTACCTGAGGTATGCCTAGATTCTAAGTTGCCAAAATGGAAAACATCAGGCAGGAGAAAACAGAAGACACAAATCATATCTGTAGAGTGAGTCACCGTTTTCAAAAACAGCTTTAGGAAACAATAGATCACCTTCTCCCTACAACAAGCCTGTGAAGTAAGCTGAGTGTTATCATCCCTATTGTACAGATAAGGCTGAAGAGGTGAGGTCATTTACCCACAGGTACTCAAAATGCAGCAGAGCTGCGTGGTGAACTGAGGTCTTGACAAATCCAAGCTGCTTCTGTATAGACCATGCTGTCTCCGAGCCAAGAACCTGCATGATTCAAAAACTCCTCCATCACTGAGAGGTGGGTGTTCACATTAACATGATCAATCCCTGGGGTTTTTTTGTTTTTTTTTTTTAATGTATCAGAACTGACATAAAGTTGCCAAAGGGAAGAAGATTCACACCTCTGCTGTAGGTTTCTGCACCACAGCTTAAAATGACCCAAGTATTAGTGACCCACAGCACAGCTGAATCTGTGGAAAGATACTTTGTACTGGAATTTTGTGATATTTTGATAAGTCCAAGAGGAACTCAGGGACCTTCCCACACATATATCTCACATTCCCCTGACAAACAATGGCAGTTGCTAGACACCCAAGGTCTCCATCACTTCATTAAATCTTTTGTAAGAGTATTACAGGCAGCAACCAGTGAGTGTTGAGGTACACAGGTATGGCTGACAGTTAATGTGAATGCACATGAAAGAGGGCAACCTCAGAGTTAGGAAAAGAAGAATCATCTTCATCCAAAAGAAACAGCTAGGAAGGACTGGTAGAAGGTGCAGAGTTGTAAAGACTTGAGCTTACCTAAAATGGCCTCGAACTCTCCAGCTCGAACTCTCCAGCTAAAATGGCCTCGAACTCTCCAGATGCCAGGGCCATCTGGTTTAGGTGGACCTGGTCATTCAAATCTCCACTTGAGGGGCTACTGTGGGCCAGATGTCATACTAGAAAGAGACAGGATAGTCCTTGCTATGAAAGAGCTTTCAGCCTCAATGGGAAACCAGAAAGCTTCCATCTTTATTCTAGGGAGCTCACAGCTCAGCGGTGAGGATGTCCCCTTCTGACTAACACATGTCCACGGAGAAGTGATACTGGGCAATAACTTTAATGAAAGTTACAAACAGGTTCAGCAAGTAAGAGCTACTATGAGAGAGATTCAAGTAGGAAATAAGGGTAACATCACTCCACCCCCAGTGAGATTCATTAAGAATCATGAGCTTTTCCAAAGGAAAGCAATATACAAAAAACAAAGAGGTGAAAGAGTCTGTATTAGACTGTAGTAAATCAAAGACGTATCCTATAATCTGTAGGATAACCACAAGAAGAGTAAAATACTGTGTAGTTAGCAGGTTCAGAAATAGGAAAAATGGACTGAAAATCTGTGCCTAATCCAAAGTCAAAAAGGAGGAAAAAAAAACATAAAACAGGTAGATCAAATAGAAAACAAACTGTAAGACAGCAAACATAAGCTCGTGTACATCAATAATCACATTTATGGCAAACAGATGCATTACTCCAAATAAAATAACCTAAAAACAAAAATCCTTTTTAAATGGACAAAGACAGTGAGGAAGAAGAACAACTCAAGTACATCACAAAAAGCATGCAAGAGGATAAAAGTCACCACATGGGTCTGTCTTGTTGCCCACAAGGAGGAGTCTGCCAAGCCTATCATGGTGCTGTGTCCATCGGTATCCGTATCTTTCACAACTCATTTGTTTGCCTCCATGCAGTGTTAGGAAAGCAAATCACTTTATTGGAGAAGGCCATAGAAAACTCTGCTGTCTTGCTGATTCTTTATTTAGAAAGCCCTTGTTCCTCCCTGTTAGGGCTAATTCATTTAGTGCATCCTTGCATATGCACATTAGACCCTGCATTGTATCTAGATTATCACATTGTTTTATTGGAAACTGCCTAACTACTTTTCTGGGGGACACCATTAATCATGGAAAGGGATCCACTAGTCCTACCCACATTCCTTGCCCCACCTTCTCCTCCTCCCCCATGCCCCAGCCTCCAAGTACCAGGCTCCATTAGTATAGTAATAAAACCACTACTGTTTGGTTAGCAGTAATGAGTTCTAAAAGTATCAATGGAGTGTTTCATGGATAAAGACCATTGTTAGGTGCAGCAAACTTTCCCGGCATCAATCAACTACATACAGTAGATTGTAGCAGCATTTTTTTTTTAAGCATGTCAGGAATGCAATGAAAAATAGCACAATTCTTACTCCTCAAGGACAATACAATGTAGCTCAGACAACTAAACACAATGACTGGTGAATAAATACACTAATTTCTACAGAAGCTGGCTCTATTGTATCCTTGTTTTAAAATCTGGGTTTCATTGTCCTAGTGTCCTAGTGTCTGTTGCCACCTGCCCACCCCCAAAAACTGTCACCTTGACTTGCCAATGATATCTTTTATGTTTTATATCTGTTAACTTTTTAAGATGAGGAAGATAAGAAGGAAGGAAAGTAGAGTCAAATAGTTTTGTCATAGTTTTCTATCTGCTGGGTTAGAAAGGGGCTAGCTGATTAACCCTCCTGGGGTTAATGGTTCAACAGGTTGAGCCATGAGATTGCTGCTATTCAACCATTTCTGACCTATAACAGCAGCAAGTTCATATGGTCCAAACTAATGGCAACAGAAATACTTGACTACTTGGTTAAGAAAAGATATGGAAATAATTTCCATTTCAGTTTAGCTTTTTTTTTGAGACAGGGTCTCACTGTGTCACCCAGGTTGGAGTGCAGCAGCACAATCATGGCTCACTGCAGCCTCACCTCCTGAGTTCAAGTGATCCTCCCACCTCAGCCTCCCAAGTAGCTGGGAGTACAGGTGCACACAACCACACCTGGCTAATTTTTGTATTTTTTTTAAGAGATGGGGTCTTGCTATGTTGCCCAGGCTGGTCTTCAATGCCTGGGCTAAAGCAATCTGCCCACCTCTGCCTTCCCAAGTGCTGGGATTATAAGCATGAGTCACCGTACCTGGCCCTGTTTCAATTTTTTTCTAATTTATATATATATATATATATATATATATATATATATATATATATATATATATATATAAAATATACAGAAGAAAGTAAGAGGAAATATAAGACTGAAGGGAGAAGAGACAGAATCAGAAAATATTCCCTCTAAACGGCATTCCACCAAAATTCATACATAAACTGCAAATTTTTGATCCTCCTTTTTCCTCCTACCCTAGGGAAAAAGTCTATCTTTTGGTATTCTTTCTGTGCCTCTCATTTAGCTTATAAAAACAATACACAAGGGCAACTTTCATCAGGCTCTGGCTCCAAATGCCACCTGCCAAGTGCTCGAAGACAATACTAAGAGGAAAAAGCCAGTCTCATTTATACAGGTCAGAGAAGGCTTTAATGAGTGATAACACAGGAAAGGAAATAAAAGCTTACAGTTAGCAGCATTCAAGGAGATGAAGTAGCTTAGGGAGAGGGAGATTAACCCAAAATGAGTTTGTAACCTACTGTTTGGCTTCCAAATGACACTTGGGATGCTTTTATGATCTCAGCTATGGGAATACCACAATGGGGTCACACCTCCCTGGATCACAAAAGCTACACAGTAGGGCTAACACACAGCCCCACCCACTTAAATGTTCATCAGAGAATTAGCTATAACCTCAAAGGAAAGCTGAATGTCCAAAGGGTACCAAGGTTACCTCATGGCACCCAATAAAAGGGTACCATGTGCTCAGCTCCCAGAAGTCTGGCCACATGGGAATCATTCAAGTAAAATACACTGTTCAGAGTGCTAGGAATTTGCTAAGATTTAATGGGAGTGAAATGGAAGCGGTGCTAGAGACAGTGACAACACCTGGCCCTAGCTAATAGAATGAACAAATGATCAGGACTTTTCCCCAATATTTAAGGTGAGCTGTAATCCTACTTACAGTGATGGGCAAAAATAACTGGCTGGCTCTTGAGTTAGCCCAAAGTGGGTTAACTTTCTCTTAGGAAGGAGATGGGAGGAGTGGATTTTAGGACCAACTTCATACACCACTTCTCACTCCAGGAGAGTACTGCCAATGAAATGCATGGATAATATAAGCAAAGATGGCCTATGGGCAGATTCCTAAGGGAAGTGGTATATTTCCTGTCTTGAGCAAGCACCTACTTCTCTTTTTTCAGCATTCTTCCTCCCACTGGTGGTATGTAGAATACACACCACTTCACTGACACACACACCCCCAAATACACAACCAATTATGCCTGCTGTTTGTTAGGGCTTTTATTAGGGAGTATAATTTACCTTCCCTTCCCAGAATTTCTCTTCAACTCTTATCAAAAATCTTATCTGCTTCTGTCAAATTCTCTCAGGACAGCATATTTAGCTGACTATCCCTTAGGAAAGGAAGTGAAAACTAACCAATGGCTTCATATGTTTTTTCTAATAGGAAATATTTTGCTGGGGGGCAAAGAAGGAGGGAAAGGAGGATGTTTCTTTTAAAGAGTATTGCTCTAATTAATTCAGAGACCAGGTGGCTTGCTCTTCTTTAACTAGAAGTAATTAAGAGCTATCAGTACACTTAGTGATTCTGTAGCAAGCACAGAGGGGAAATAATTTGGGGCAAAGGGAACTAGCAGGGCTCTCCTCCCACAACGACCCCTCTAGGAAGTCAGCAAGCTACCGTAAGGCCACTCTGCTCACAACATTTATACTTCTCTCCCAAGGGGGGGTCTCATTTCAATCAAGCAAATCCTTCATGGGGATAGGATTCACTTTTTTACCCAGAAGAATAAGTTTATGTTAAGGGAATAAAAAGGTTCAAGCATTCACCATGAGTCCGAAAAGCCAAGCACAGACAGACCTTGGTGGGGTGGGGGTGAAGGGATGGTGGTCCACCAGGCGTGAGCCCCTTGACTGGCCCACTATTGAAGTCACAGTACCAAATTCAAGATTTAGCTAGCATTCCTCCTGAGTCAGTGAGAAATTGGATCAGTTACATGTTGCTCAGCCAGGTCTGAGAATCCTGGGGCCTTGGCACAATAGCTTTCAAAATACTACATTGACTCAGCAAGAACTCTGACCATGAACAGACTTCCTCTCCTGGTTCTAAAAGTCTGATCTGGAGAAATCAGAATAAATGTAGTCCTTCCCAGAGAAGGTCTTGTCAATCAATGACTATCACTGTACTACTGCAGTGAGACGCCAATCATTTCACTGGCTAAATGAGAAGACAATGTGATGGTGTGATGTGTGAATTTGAGCTCCACTGGGAGTAGGTACTGGTCTGCTGCTAGAGTCAACACCTGTACATGTGACCAAAGCATGGCACAAAGGCACTGTGTTCACAACCTGTGCTCCATATCGACAGCAAGCACTTGGATTGACAGCTGTTTTCTGAAGGCTGAAAGATGAAATCAACACTGATGAAAGACTATTGGCTGTTCTCTAGGAAGAAGAGTCCATAAACATGACCGAGACAGAACTGTATTGTTCATTCCTGCCACCCCCGTTGCTTCTTTTCCAAAACTGTCACTTAAAAACCATCTTTTTCCTACTCGTTTTGTCTCGAGTTCACACACCTAGACTATTACTAAGCTATTATTGTTTCTGCCTCTAAAATATATCTTTGGGTCAATTTTTCTTTATTTTGATAACCCTGACTACATCCACCAGGTGCAGTATTGCATCATGGTTACAAATCCCAGCTTTGCCCCTAAGCAATATGACCCTGGGAAAATTATCTACTACTCCCAGCTACCATCTGAAAATGGTGACTGTAAGGATTAAATGGGGGAAAAACACATACAAAGTTCTCCATAAAGTATCAATGCCATCATCAGCTTCATCGTTAATCAGGGTCCGATTACTGCATAACTACTACTATGCCATGTCCTCTGTACCCAGAGTCACCATTAGCAGTCATGTTGGTGGCAACTCCATTTGATGTAACTCTCAACTATATCCCATATCAAATGGGAAACTTATCCACAAGACTGTGAAACTTCACCATGCCTTCTCCATGACCTCACTCACACTCCTTTCCTTAACTTCCCCCAGTCAGGGAAACTAACTCTCTGCTCCTGACCTCCTTTTTAAACTTCTGAAAAAAGCAGCAGGGGAGGGGCTCTCAAACTAGTTTTACCCACAGCAGAGACCATGATTTTATTACCTTTCTCCATATCCTCACCAAAAAAAACCATTGCTTATATAAAGAATTAATAAGTGGCGTCTTATCATCTTTATACTGAAGGCATTTTTGCCAGCTGCCATTTTTCTAATCCCTCACAGCAATTGAGAATTTTTTTTAAGCCTTGAATGTGGCAGTCGGATTTGAGCTAATCATTTGGAATTATACTGTCTTTATTTCTTTGGAGCATCTTTGAAGTATCTTGTTATATAAATGAAATATGGGGTGAGGAAGGAAAGGATGCACCTACGAACACTGCTTCGAAGGTTCTTGACTCATAACTTTAAAAGCCTGAGAAGAAATTTATGAAGCCAATTGCAAACCCTTCTTCCCTCTTAACCAGGAAACTTCTAGTTCTTTGTTGTTTTAAAGTATCTGCTAAGGATTGACTTTAGAAATCAATGCACTGCACAGCAAGCATTTCACCCATCCTGACAGAACTACAGATGGTCCCTGACTTACAATTTTCCAATTTTACAATGGTGCAAAAGCGATATATATTCAGTAGAAACCATAATTCCAGTACCCATACGACCATTCTGTTTTTTCAATTTCAGTACAGTATTCAATAAATTACATGAGATATTCAACACTTTATTATAATAGGCTTTGTGTTAGATGGTTTTGCCAACTATAGGCTAATGTCAGTGTTCTCAGCATGTTTAAGGTAGTCTAGGCTAGGATGTTTCATAGGGTAGCTATATTAAATGCATTTTTGACTTACAATATTGTCAATATTTTCAACTTACAATGGGTTTATCAGGGCAAAAAAAAACCCGTAAGTCTAGGAGCATCTGTATTTCAAGGAGAAACAAAATCTCACACACAATTCCTAAATTTCATTTAATCTCTGCTATAGCTTGGGAAAAACAGACAAGAGGGAAGAAAATGCTAAGCCAGCAGTTTGCCAGCAAATATGAAGCCCCAGATACTGTAATTTCAATTCTCACTCCCTGGAAGCTTTAAATGCATAAATGTTTTATAAACCAATTGACAAAGCTTACTCACTTGTCCTAAGAAACATAATACGACAAAGACACAGAAGAGAACATTAGGGCTACGATAAAGATACAAGGTAGAATTCATTGTGTTTAAAAGTGTTTTTTTTAAAAAAGTTCTTTGAAGATAAAAAGACCTAAGTGCTACATATGATTACTTATCACAACTACTCAATATCTATTATCCTACAGGCAGAATCCAAGGCTCTGTGTTAAGTAACTTTCAAATATGTACCTTATTCTGAGCTGGGAACAACACTAATCCACCTACCAGAGAAACTCTCCAACCCTGTTCTCTGCCACCTTCCAGCCCCCATATGTCACTCAGAAGGCAGAGTGACTTTTCCAACCCAAGTTACTTAAGCTAATTCTCGTCTTTCACAAACAGATCCTTCAGCAGCCCCCAGCCTACCTGCACAAAATGCTGGATACCTTGGAAGAGCTACAGGAACTGTTTCTTTCAGCTACTGAGTACCTACTGTGTGCCAGGTACTGCAGTGGTGATTGTTTTTTATTAGACACCACTATGATTAATTTGCTCAGCCTAGAAAATCCATTTCTCCCTGGAAGATGAAGAAAAGGGAAGACAAAGAGGTTTGCTTCTAATTAAGACGAAACCAACAAACAAGCCTGACCCAGGCCATGAAATTGTACTCTCATTGGTTTATGAACACCAGAAAGAGGGCTTGGTACAGCAGCAGCCAGAGCCAACAGACTCAATGGGGCAGATAAAAATTCAAAATTCAGCCAAAATGCTGAAAAGAGAAGAAACATAGGTTCCTCTTCGTTTAATGCACGAGCCACTCTGGCTACTAGGCCACAACTGAGCAGACAAAAAGATTTGGGGACTTTTCCAGTGAACCGAGAAATGTGAGCAGGAGGGGCAGGCATGAAGAGCTCCACCCACACCCCTGAAGGGAGGCGCTGTCAGGAGTCGGCAGAAAGGCAGACACTGACACACCGCATCGCCCAGGGCTGGAAGGGTTTCTCCCAAACGACTGTAAAAAAAGAAATGAAAAGGGAAACAAATAGCATCTGCTAATAGTAACTCCTCATATTCCATTGATGTTATGTTCACCCTATTACTAGAACTCCCTGAGGGTGGCAGGCATTTAGAGGAAATGACATTCTGAAGCTTCAGGGGGAAAGAAAAAAAAAACAAAAACAGAAAGTGAAAAATATTTTAGAGTTCTTTAAGATGTTAATTTAACATCAACATAAGTATAATGACAAACACTCATTAATTACCTTAAGCACTGTGCAAAGAGTTTTCAGATGCTCGGTTTCTAATCGTCCCAGCAACCCAGTATGGAAAATAATATTTTCCTGACTTTTTCAGGTGGGAAAACTGATGCTTAGAGAAGTTAATCTTTCCTCTCAAGATTACAAAGTGACAGAGCCAGGATGAAGTCTGGGTGACTCAGGAAGCTTTTTTCTTCTTTTCCAGTTCATCACATTCAATACCTTTAAATCATTTATAAAAATGTTTCAGTTATAGTCCTATGCCAGGCACCAGGAAGTAATGTGAGAAAATGAAAACAATAAACTTTTCTAAATCAGTAAGAACAAAATGTAAATGAAACGTCTTAGACTTAAAGTGGAACAGTACGTGGTGCCTGGAAGGTCATATGGTTAAATTCTAAATTTAACCATTCTCTCAGACTAAATTTGCTCATCTGTAAAATGGAGGTGATAATATCAAAAGCAATGACTCAACTCAGATAAAAGGTACACTTCCACACAAACATCATTTGTCAAAAATTATGCTACCATCATAACAATTCAAATCTAGGAGGAGAAAGTGTGGGCTGTAGAAGGAATTGAGACTACCATCTTGATGGAGCTATCAAATATCTTCAATCACATCATTTAAGTCACTCAAAAGGGGAAGAAGCCCATAACAAAATAATGGGCCTTAGCTCCCACACACCAGTCTCTTTCCTCCTCTTCCTCTGATTCTTTTCTCTACTGTTAACACCAATTGTAACCTAACAGAGTGCTAATGTCTGCTCAAGTTCAAGCTTACACTATAGCTCTCTCTCCCCACTCAAAATGCTACTGAACACAGTAGATAACTATCTCAGTTCCCTCTTTGACAAGAAAAACAACATGAATGTAAATTACATGGAACCCATATTCTATAATACTGGAATTAAAGAATAAGGATTTAACCACATTGCAGACATTCTCTACTACTGAAGGAAAAAAATGTGCAGCATACACTTATAGACATAGGGAATCATAACATTTCAGAGCCTGAAACAACAAATGAAACTAATCTAATCCAGCCTCCTTTTGTAGTCACAAGAGATATATATACCTTGCCCAAAATCTGTCTTAAGGCTAAATTATGACAGAATGTCCTGAAAATCAGAAGAATTCTTACTCTTCTACATCCCCCTAGCTTCTGAATAACAACTCAATGTATATCATGTATTCTTAAAGACTTTACTATGTTATAATATATGTAGTTTTAAATATCCACCCATATCAATATCATTCTGCATAGATAGAACTTCCAATAAGGCAGCCAAGTGAACTGTTCAAAAACCTACTGCAAACCATAAAAATCAAAGACCCAGAACCAGGAATCAGGAGACCCAGGTACTAATTAGTCCTGATTATCACTGACCAGTTTCTAGATCTCAAGTCACTTTACTTCAACTTGGCCTTTGTTTCTAAAACCATAAAGAGGAGTTGGACCAGTTGGTCTCTAGGGTCCTTTCCAACACCTAAAGCTCCCTAATTCTCAACCACCTGGCACGCAAGGTAGACACAGGAAAACCAACACTTTCATTACAAAAAGTCACAAGGAAAAAAAATCACAAGACATCACAAGAGCTTTAAGGAAAACTGTGTTGAAGCTATGCTTGCTTTGGGGTTTTTCCAGAGGTAAGCACTGTGTTTTCCAAAGGCAAACAGTTCCCTTTCTCCAGAACAAGGACAGGATGTTGGGGACATGAGTCATTCTGTTGACATTCTAGGTACTGGTCAGTTGGAGGACAGGAACCACATCAGCTTCCTAGAGAGCACAGAAGAAAAATCTGCTCCAAAAAAGACCAGAAAGGAAGATGCGTTGAATGTCAGAAGGACCTTTGCTTCCCAAACCTTTCCAATCCAGCCTTCTAGTTAATGATAATGCCCAGCTCATTATAGCCAAAGGAGTAAAAACTTATTTCTAGAACCCCAGCGTCCATACAAGCAGCTAGATGCCAGGGATAAAACAGCCTCCCAATACTAGTAAGACCACCAACAATTTACAGCCTCAACTTCTGTTCCCAAGCATGTATCCTTTCTTTCTCAACATGTCAGAATACGGATGTGCCTTTACCAACCATTCTTTCCGGAGACAGGAATTAACAAAGACTGGTAAGAACCCCCGTCAGTTTTTCAAACTGGAGGAAGGTGATGCAGTACTCAGGGCCTGTTGTAGGGAGGCTCTGCTTATCTTAAGACAAAAATCAACTTGTAGATAGACATCAACACACAATGTTCTCCATCTCATGTTATTTCAACATGGGAGAAAATGCCACATGTGACCAGCTCATCCTCCTCTTCTCAAAAAAATTTTATACATATAATTTATTCCACACCCACTCTAGGATGGTAGCTAACGGCACCCACTGGACTGAATGATGCAAATAAGGATCCGTTCTGCCTTTGTTGTGTTTAATGCTGCTGCCACTGCCACCGCCACCACCACCAATTTTTGATTAGGACTCTGCTGGAGAACTCTGCAGAAAAATTAATCTAAACATAATCCTTCTGAATCCCTTACCTACATCAGAATTCCAGGTCACTCCAAATATGCATTCACTCACTCAGCCATCATTGGCAATCAGATGACACAAACACCCCATTACGAGTAATTCTGAGGGCTCAAGTTGTAGGAAGAAACAGAAAATGACATTATCCCCAAAGATGATATATATTTCATTATTTTTTCTATTTAAATTCAGCTTGGTGTCCCCTTTCTCTGTTAAGTGCCTGTGAACCACTGCAATGCTATGGGATGTGAGGAGATACAAGATAACCAAAAAACAAAATGTTTATGTAGGAAAGGAAAAGCTTGTCCATTGATACGTATTTAACTGAACAAACCGATGATACACAGTAGTAACAGTTACATTCATTGAAGATGCATTAATTCATTCAATAAACATGTTCTGGGGCTGCAGAAAGACCCAGAGATGGAAGTCTGAAGATGTGCTTCAATGTCCAAAAAAAAGGCGGGGGGTATGGATTGATAACCAATGTGTGAAGTCCTTTTACATTTATTTATTTATTTATTGAGACGGAGTCTCGCTCTGTCACCAGGCTGCAGTGCAGTGGCGTGATCTCGGCTCACTGCAACCTCTGCCTCCTGGGTTCAAGCAATTCTCCTGCCTCAGCCTCCCAAGAAGCTGGGACTACAGGGGCTCACCACCATGTCCAACTAATTTTTGCATTTTTAGTAGAGAGGGGGTTTCACCATGTTGGCCAGGTTGGTCTCAATCTCTTGGCCTCATGATCTACCCACCTTGGCATCCCAAAGTGCTGGGATTACAGGCGTGAGCCACTGTGCCCGGCCCTACATTTATTTCTTATAATTCTGTTAGCTAAAGATCATTTTAGAGACAACAGGGTCACAAAGGTGACGTGAATTGGGCAGCAGAGCTGAGACCAAAACCTTAGCTTTCAGGCCACCAAGTATGTGATCTGTCACTACTCCTACACCAGGCAGAAAGCATTACAAAGGCACACAAAAAGTCAAAGAGGAATTCTGTAGTGCCAGAAAGGAAGTACTTAAAAAAAAAAAATGAGTGTATGCCAAGAAAGGGACACAGAAGCCAAGTAAGGAGCTCCCAATGGTCAAAGCTGAAACGATTCAAACAAAATAAAGCAGTATTAGATTCTAACCCAAAGGATAAAAACATCCATGAGTCCACACTGATACAAATGACTGAATACATAAATGGGGAAGAAGAGACAAATCTCCCAGGCAGAAGAATTCCAAATAAGTTAGATAGATCCTCCTCTCTCAACATCCCACTCCTCAAGTGTACGCTGTACACAGTGACGTCCTTCTGAAGATGACAGAGCTGTTTGGGTTTTTGCTTGTTGTTTTTACAGTTTTGTGGGTTTTTTTTTTTTTTCAGTTTACAGTACAGAAACTTGGCAAACGCTACCTCCGCCAAGTGATAAGGATCAGCATGTGATAAGTCACACTGATATGTGATGAAAATGGCACTTTACCTCTGTCATCCTCCCCCTCAAAATCCACAACCCCAGTTGAATCGCCACAGAAAAACAACAGACAAATCTCAATTGAGGGGTATTCTACAAAACACCTGACCAGTACTCCTCGAAACTGTCAAGATCATCAAAAACAAGGAAAGTCTGGGACACTGTCACAACCAAAAATAGCCTGGGGCTCCACGACAACTAAATGTGACACCGCATCCTGGATGGGATCCCCGGACCGAAAAAGAACATTAAGTATCAACTGAGGAAAGGTGAATAAAGCACAGACTTTAGCTAATTATAAGGTAACTGTATTGGCTCATTAAGTGTGATAAACATACCATTCTAACTTAAGATAATAATGGGGGAAACTAGATACAGGATATGTGGGAATTCTCTGTATTATAGCCTCATTTTTCCCATACATCTGAAACTATACTACAACAAAAAGTTTATTTTTTAAAAAGTCAAAGAGGAAGGAATGAGAGAGCTGTGTGCAAGGGAGAGCAGATGAATGAACCTGGCCAAATTCATTTTGGCAGCAACTATCTGTCCTTGCACCTTCCTACCCTCACTCTCCTGTCTTCGTGGACCAGTAAACATCACAAAAGATCTTCAAGGCAGAATTCAGTTGAGGTCTCAATTTGCTCCTGTTAAGAGCTGGGCCACACTCAGAGGGTAGATCAGTTTTATTCAGTGACCAGAGATCCAATTGGCACTTTCTGCTCTTTTCCAAGAGGGAAAGGATCCTGGAGCCCGCTCCCCAAAAACAGCAGGGAATGTGCCTGGCCTGCTAAGGAAAGATACTTCATGCAGGTTCCCCTCCACTCCGCCCTCTGACTTAGAGCACACCTGTTCATACCTTCATGTTTCACCACTATTTACAGATGAGAACAACGCTTAGCATTTATGGGCTTTTAAAAGATCAAACACGGCCGGGCGTAGTGGCTCACGCCTGTAATCTCAGCACTTTGGGAGGCCAAGGCGGGCGGATCATGAGGTCAGGAGATCGAGACCATCCTGGCTAACATGGTGAAACCCTGTCTCTACTAAAAATACAAAAAATTAGCTGGGTGGCATGTGCCTGTAGTCCCAGCTACTCAGGAGGCTGAGGCAGGAGAATGGCATGTGAGCCCGGGAGGCGGAGGTTGCAGTGAGCTGAGATCGCGCCACTGCATTCCAGCCTGGGTGACAGAAAGAGACTCCGTCTCAAAAAAAAAAAAAAAAAAAAAAAAAGATTAAACACAACATCTGAAACTACCTAAAAATAGTTCAGTTTTTTTCTCTGCCTCTCTCTTTTTGGTCAATTTTCAAGTTTTATGAATAGCGTATTAGGCCAAACTGATTATAATAACCACTTCATCAAGCACCTGTCAGAAATGAACTTTAGGCTCAAAGGCAGGAGAGGAGCACCTGGAGAACTCTAAGAAATGGAAAAAAGCCCCAACCTGAATCAACAGCCTCCCCTCCACTGACCTAACAAGCACACCCAAATCCAAGGCCAATCTCTAAATAAAGATTTCAAATGAAACTGTGAATGCCGCTGACATGGTCATGAACTTATTCTTTGATATTTTGCACAGATTAAAGCTTTTTGCCTCCAAGCACTTCTCCTTCCCCTTTCAAGATCAAAAAGGAAGAATTCTTCAAGCATAAATGACAGGTGGGATTTCAATTCAACTCAACTAACTCATGGGCATCTACCAGGTGAAAAGGCAGTGTGCCAGGTATGCAGAAACCACTAGGACTGTGTATGCCTCCTGTGTCACTTCATTTGGAGGGGTGAGATGTCCAACGTGAACTTTTAGGGACCTTTATTAGGACACACATTTATTTTCTTTGACAGGACACATTTAAATTAATAGCTTCTCCTAAAGGCATTGAAGAACTACATAGGGACTTCTGTAAAATAATACTTTTTGAAACTGATAAATTCCCCAAACTTTCAGAGCTAAAATTCCCTCCACTCCATCCCACCCCAGTGTCCATAAATGCAGTCATATCACAGGCCCAGGCCTGTTGAGAGCTACAATGAAATAGTCTTAGCAGTTCACACTTCTCCTAGTACATGAAACTGTTTCACAGGATAATTCCCAACATCTTCCTACATGTAACTTTATTGAGAACTGAGTCACATACTCCTTGCAGCCAAATGAAGGTTCAACCCTTTTGCTGGCATCGCCTGCCTCCAATTCCTCCCTGGCTGTGGTTTGGGCAGGATACACGTGGGAAGAAAAAAGAAAGAAAACTACAAAATCATTACCCCTAAAGCAGTGGGGCTCAACTATGGGTGACTGCCCCCCAGGGCATATTCAGCAGTCTACAGACATTTTTGGTTGACATAATTGGGAAGAGGCAGTGCTACTCAGTGGCCTATAGTGGGCAGGGACCAGGGGTGCCACTCAGCATCCTACAAAGCACAGGACACACCTATGACATAACAGTTATCTGGTCCCAAATGCATAAATAGTGTTAAGGTTAAGAAACCTTGTTCTAAAGCCATAAAGGAAACAAACTGCACAAGAAAACAGGTAGGTAGAAATATACAAGTTATACTGATTCCTCCTCCATACTCTTTGCAGCATCTTCCTTCTGCCCCCTAAAATTTAAGTTTTGCTCATAAGGCCATACCCTCTGCCTGCTTCCCTTGAATCTCTAAAAGAGCATTCTTTATTTTTTTTATTTTTTTTGTTTTTTTGAGACCGAGTCTGGCTCTGTCACCCAGGCCTGGAGTGCAGTGGCGCGATCTCAGCTCACTGCAACCTCCTCCACCTCCTGGATTCAAGCGATTCTTCTGCCTCAGCCCACAGAGTAGCTGGGACTGCAGGCATGTGCCACCACATCCAGCTGCTTTTTGTATTTTTTATTAGAGACGGAGTTTCGCCATGTTGGCCAGGCTAGTCTTAAACCCCGACCTCAAGTGATCCGCCCGCCTCGGCTTCCCAAAGTGCTGGGACCACAGGCATGAGCCACTGCGCCCGGCCCATTCTTTGTTTTTCAACCCACTTTCTATCTGTTGCCATCTCCAATCTCTATCCAAGATGTCTAATTTTATGATTGATCACTTGCTGTGATCAACCTCAAACTCAACTCATCAAAACAAAATGCATCATCAGGGCTTCTAAGCCGACTCCTCTGCTGCCTGTCCTGTTTCAGTAAATGTCACACCACTTTCCCCAGGACCCAGGTTCAAACCCCAAGAGCCACTTTCATTCCACTTCCTCCCCACCTATCTACTCACACAGTTTTGCTCAGCACTCTTCATCCAGTAGCTAGCACTCCACCTGCCACATAGAACTCACCCAAATATCTAATACATATAGAAACACTATTAAAGACATTAAGGTCATCTTTAACTGCTTCCTCACTTCCCAGCCTCTCAATCGAATCGATTGCAAAGCCTTACAAATTCTGCCCCAAGGTGTAAAGGCACCAATACAAGTTCCCTCCCTAAAGTCTAAATAACCTAATCCATCCCCATACAAATGGCAGATCAATCTTCCTCAAGCATAATCCCCATTATGTCACTACTTCACTGCCAACCCCAGAAAAAAAACTGGTCAACAGCCTATCAAATCCTTCCACCTCTACCTTGACACTGGCAGGTAGGTTCCATGGGTCCAACACCCCATCTCAGGTTCCCCACCCAGGCTTTTGTCTCCTACTTCCTTTCAATACTATGAAGAAAATACTTAATAAGCTGCTCCTCACCCACGTCCAGAGGGACCAGCATCTATTAAAAAGGCACAGCAGAGACCATCCGGGGCTCACAAACTTCTCTAGGCTTCCCCCTTTCAACCATCATTTCAAACATCCTCCCTCATCCTGTGCTGCCACCTTCTACTCCTCCACCCTCAGATCCACAACTTTTATTTGGATTAGTCACCTACCTTCTGATTTCACTTCTCTATCAATGTTCAGCCTCCACCACTGCCACGTGGCAACCCTGGGCAGAGGAAGCCTCACTCTCAAACCCGACCTCAGGTCTGGGATCCCAGCACCAGCTCAGGGTCCAGGGGCAGCTTCTGGGATTGTTTATCACACATCCAGTATTCTTCAGAAAGCCAGTGAAGCTGTCTGCTGCTCTGGGGCAGCACCCAAGTGTTCCTGTCTCCGTGGCCACCACATTCTTCTCTCTTTGGCTCCCATGTTTGTCTCTCCACAACACACTCAATTCCTTCTATGCCCAGCTCAAATGACATCCTCTCCCTGAAGCCTGTCCTAATTTTCCTACCCAAACCAAATACAATTGCCTTCTCTTCTCAATCATCTGGTCATGTTCACCCTTTTTAAAAATAAGTACCATGTTATGCCTTGTATTACATGTATCAGTTTCTCTCTTTATGCCTCAGCGAACTGTACCACTTACTAGCTGTGTGGTCTCAGATAAATCAATCCTCTATACTATTTCTTTATCAATAAACTGGAGATAATGGTGCATATCTCATAACTGTGTATAGAAGATAAAGCCAGATAAAATGTACACATGGCTTAAAACAGTGCCTGTGCATGCAAATGCTACCTATCATTCATGTTTTACCTCCCTCAGGACTTAGAAAAGCCTTACATATTAATTGCTCAAAAAATCAGTTGAATGTTAATCATCCAAAAATCATCAGTTTGAATGTTCAGTCATCCAAAATTCCAATTACTAGAGACCTAGCAGAAAAGAAACAAACATTTCTTGAGGACCTACCAAGTATACCAAGCAATATATAAAGCATCTTACATAGGAGAATTTATAATTCTCGCATCTCTTTGAACTAGATATTATTCTTATTTTACAGATGAGGACTTACAAATTAGGTACTTAGCCTTAAGTCGTGTAACTCATCATATAAAAAATCTGTGCTCTTTTCACACAGCCCACTACCTCCATAATATGGAATTTGCCTTATTCACAGGCTAGACAGCAACATAGCCTGGGGGATACAACAAGGAATAATACTTCAGCAAGTTCGCAGGCCAGAGGACAACATGCTGAGGCTTTTATTTTATTTATTTTTTTTCGAGATGGAGTCTCACTCTGTTGCCCAGGCTGGAGTGCAGCGGCTCAATCTCGGCTCACTGCAAAACCTCCACCTCCCAGGTTCAAGCAATTCTCCCGCCTCAGCCTCCCAAGGCTGGGATTACAGGCACCTGCCACCACACCCAGATAGTTTTTGTATTTTTTAGTAGAGATGAGGTTTTGCCATGTTGGCCAGGCTGGTCTTGAACTCCTGACCTCAGGTGATCCGCCTGCCTTGGTCTCCCAAGGTGCTGGGATTACAGGTGTGAGCCACTGCACCCAGCCAAAGCTTTTATTTTTTTTAAACCAGTGACAACGCTGGCTCACAGAGAAGAATGACATACAAATCAGAAGTTTACAGATTCAGTGGTATTGTGTCCACTTATCTTGAAAGACCTGACCCTGATGGATAGAAGGACCAAAAGAAGGAAAGGTCCATGCTTCTGGGTGTGCAAATAAAAGAAAAAAAAAGGAGGAAGAGAGGGAGAAAAGTAAAGTAGAAGGGAGGAGAGAAGGAGAAAGAGGGAAAACTCCAAGCCACCTGTCTTAGCCAGGAAACTCCCTGAGGTTCACAACCTGAAAGTGTCCTATCACTTTCCCCAGCATGTCTCATTTTGTTTATTTTCTTAAAACATACTGGAAAATTTAACTTCTCTCTTTTGACGTTTTTTATTCTGAAAAGTGCATGAAAAATTCCAGCAGGTAATTCTGACATCCAAAAACCTCATTTTTTTTTTTCCCCCTAACTGGCTCAGACAGATAAAAGGAAAGGAACTGAACTATCCGAATAATTTCCCTAAGTCTTCCCCACCTACATTATGCTCATCCAGTTTCCTTGCAAATTACCCAGGTGAACCATCTGTGCTTGGGACTTTTTTAAATTCTTCACATTGAAGTTCTTTCATTTATTAATGGGAAAAAAAAAGATTTCTTCTCAATTTTCCTCCCTGCATATCCCAAGCAAAGCAGGATTTGGTGAACCCTAACATCCTTAGGTAAAGCAACATTAAATCCAAAATACACGTAACCTTAATAGATCTTTTTCCATCAACGAATTTTACAATAATGCTAATTGCAATTTTAAAGGATGACAACATCTTCTGGATGAGCCACAGAAATAACATATTTAGTCTACAAATTCATGGAATAGTGAACAACATGCCAAGTGCATTCCACTTCCATAGTCTTATGATTCTTTAAGCAAGACAGGCATTTAGAGAGCTTTAAAAATAATGATGAGGGGTGAAGGAGCAGAGCAGGGGCATAAGTTTTTTTCTTAATGATGGAATTTAGGTAATGCTCTTTGAATAACTGTTACTCTAAATGGCAAGTGGAAAGTCACATGAGCATGAATTTAAGACAAAAGAACATCTATACAAAAAGTAATTTCCCACTTAATTTAAATTTCCCTTGAGGAGGGGAGAGGGGAGAGAGGGGAGAGTTAAAGCCTGACTTAAATAAAAACATACTTGTTAACTGGATAAGAAAAAGAAATAAGACAATGTCTGAAATGTGAAAGATGTCCAGAGGCATGGAAGTTTGCCCTGATATGCAGGACTCATCTAAGCCAGGACCTCACAGGCTCTCTGGATACATGTTATCTTCGGAAATGAGCAGGAGAAGTAGAAATGAACTACCAGAGCTATAGAGGGTTAAGCAGCAGCCTTGGATTTCATTCTAGGTTTGGCAAACACTGAAATAAATAACTGGTCAATGACAAGACTGCCCACTGTATTAGATCAAGAAATTACGAATCAGTTCTCTAAATTTAGTAGCTAGACTCATTCCTGTTTGACTTTTCAAGTCAGTTCAGCCCAAATAGCAAGTATAGTATATGACTTCTAAGGCAGAAAACGGAAAACTAATTCCCTCCCATGAAAATCAGAATTCTATCCAGCCAAGTTCTTCTAGCTCCCCCAGTGTGGAAACACTTAGCAATGACTGTTCAAATGCTTAGCTGAGTTCTAAGACACTAAAATAAAGGAGAGGGGGAGGGATGTGGGTACAGGAGTTCATTTTTGCAGAAATGCCGTGATTAAACAACAAGACTTACATTTACAGAACCACGTTAAAGACTTCAGAATCCCATTCACTCTCTATAGTGACAAATACACTTAAGCAAGGACTTTCTGACTCTGTCGAAAGACAGCAGCTCTTAAGAATTATTTTAAAAATGAAACAAAAGATTCCACATGACTGTTTTGCCTGCCGCCGCCCCGCCCCCTGGCCCACCCACCCCCACCACTCTACGACTCCCACCTTCATTTATCCTATTCATCTCACAGTTGGGTATTTGGTTGAAGCATATTTGAAAGAGGAGGATAAAGCCTGGGCCAATTATCCAAAGAACAAACTGTCTTCCGTTAAAGGCTTATAAAAATAAATTTGGCTTACAAAAAGAAATTCAAGGAGATTTCCAAACCGTCCTCTCAATTTCATGTGAGCCTGCTGATTTTTTAGTCATTCTTGTTTTTCTCCAAATTCATATTGGGTGGGGAAGTTGAACAAAAATTCTAAGTGTACCATTGTAGTCTAGTTAAATAAAAACATAGGTTTCAAATTTCAAATCACATCACATCTAATTTAACTTTTAATTTTAAGGGACTGGTCCAGATAGTAGCTGAGAACCATTGTGGAGACACAAAATGGGAACAAGTTTCCTAAGAAAGCTAACAGGCCATCTGGGGCATAATCTAACAATGAATCTCATCTAAACCCAATGTCCCTTGGAATGAAGTTTTTCCTCTTAGGATTAAGACATTTAGTTCTATCTCTTGCCTAGAACTTGATGGCAAGCTGTACTTTCTGTAATCTGTATCCTAAGCACTACTCATCTCTTTAACTCTTGTGTAGGGTTTGCCACCTCATGTCCCACAGCACCATGGCAACCCAGCTGAATATACAGACATTTCCAGTTCTGAAAGAACACTCTGGAAATACGGGCTGACCGGAGCAGGACTTCTGCAGTGGGACTGTCTACTGTGAACCAAAGAATTACAAAGAAATGTTAACAGATTTTTTTTAAATTACAGCTTTGTGGAAAAATAAGTTAAGGCAAATCCATCCTTGACACTCTAACAGCATTCCTGGTTCAGCAGGAATAACTCTTAGTGCTGTCAGAAAATAAAAGCATGCTATCTATTCTTTATAGTCAACTGAATTGGAAGCAGACAAATTTTTCAGTCTCAGGAGCAAGAAAGCCATGCCTGCAAATTTGGTTTTGTAATTTTCAGCAGATCAGGGTTTTGCTTATCCTCAAATTACATTTTAGGTCACTCCAACAACCTAAAAGACTAGAAATAAAAGATCGTTCTTGTCCAATCTTATATGGTAACCTGTGATAAATAAGTCATTTTACTTATCACAAATTTGAGTGTATCTTCCAAAGGCCAAAAAAAAAAAAAACCCAACAGTTAATGTTATGTAATATAAACTATTAATTGCACTTTTCTTTCCTAGTGTGGGAGATCAAGTTGTCATTCTTCATTAAAAAAAAAAAAAGTCAAAATTTTTTTTTCAGAGAACAACTCTTTCCACATGTATCTATTAATATTATGCCTGTAAGAGTTCTGAATTTCCTGTGAATGCCAGCTCATATGGAAACAGATGAGCCAAGAAGAACTAAGAGGAACTCATGTCACAGTTTGGTACCATACTTCTTGAACATAAATGAAAAGTGGGAAAATTATCATGCTGTAAATCTAGAATCAAAGGTACCCAAAGCACAGTTAGTGAACCCAGTACTAACCAGGAGGATTCAAAAGCAACCCACAATTGGTTTGCTGCTTGCAAAAAAATTAAATTTAGACCTCCAAATCACACTATACACAACTAGATTCCACATGAATAAAAGCGAATTCTTTAAAAAACATTGTCTCCGAAGCTAAAATTAAGTCGTGTATTTTTGGATATGATCGTTAGTAAGAACATTCTAACTTTCAGAATCATGACAAAAATGGTCAGAAATTTAAAATTTGATGTTGTAAGAAATTCAAACTTCTGTAGGCCTAAAAAATTTATCTAAAAAAGGAAGTGAGGAAAATAGTCAAAATAAATTAAATGAGTTATCATCTATTACAAGGGTCAGCAAACTATGGCCCGCTAATCAAATCCAGCCCACCGCCTGTTCTTCTACAGCCCGTGAGCTAAGAATGGTTTTTACATTTTTAAATGGCTAAAAAAATAAAGAGGAATGATACTCCAGGGCATATAAAAAACTATATAATACTCACATCTCAGCGTCCATATGGGAGCACAGCCATCCTCATTAGTTGCCTATTGTCTAAGGCTGCTTTCACCCTACAGAAGCTGTATGGCCCACAAAGCCTGAAGTGTCTATTATCTGGTCCTTTATAGAAAAAGTTAGCTAACCTCTGACCTACTACACAAAGAGCTCATGCATATGAAAAACAGTAAGACCCAATAAATAAATAGGCAAAAGAGATTTTTTTAAAGTAAAAGAAAAATACAACCTGTTAATAAAATAGAAAATGTTCACTTTCACTTCCAAATGGAAAGACTCTCTTTGGCCTATCAGATTAGGAAAGATTTGTGGAAAAGTCAACACACATTGCTGTCAGGGGGACAGTCAAACAAGAGCTAAGAAGCTGCAGGTGGCACTCTAAATATGTTTTACCCTTTTAGAATGCAATGCGGCAAAAAGAAACAAGTCTTAGAAAATGTCCATAACTCTCTTCTCATCTATCCTATGGACATAATCTCAAATATAGGCAAGTTTATAAATAAAGACATTTATTATGGTATCTTTAACACAATGAAAAACCAGTAGCAATTTCATAGGTTTCCCTCTGTTTTAAGAGTCATGGGTGTTGTTTCTAAGTATTAATGTATCTGAAATTAAGACATATCTTATAATCATGTACATTTAATGTGCTATGTGTTTCCTCATATTAAAGTGTTGATACCACAGTGTCTTACCTGTACTTTTAATTAACAGTGTCTTACATGTACTACATAGAGGCAACTCACATAGTTTCAATGAAGACATCTGACTGAAGGACTATTTACAAAGATGAGGGAAGGGTGAAGGGTACCACAAGGGGCATTCAGGTAGAAAGTGACTCGAAGCATCAAGGAGAGGAAAGTAACCTGCTGGAGGCCTGAAAGAGGACCCACCAGGCAAGAGTGGTTTCTTGGTGGGACACAGTCACTGACAAAACTGCAGCAGAGAAGCAGGCAGAGAGAAGAGATATGGCGACTGGCAGCTCTCTCCCCTCCCACTCTTAGCTCTCCTTAAGTTCCCCCTTGGCCAATCCAGTTAGAAGCCAGAGGGCAAGGAAGCCTGGAGGATCCATCTGTCAGTCAGCACCACTGCCCACTCCCAAAAGGAGGGCAGACAATAGGTGACAGGGGGTGTTATGGTTTGAATGTGTCCCTTCCAAAATTTAGGTGTTGCCAAAGTGATGGTATTTACAAGTGGAGCCTTTAAAGGTGATTAAGCCATGATGGCTTCTCCCTCTCGATGGGATTAAGGCTCTTATAAAAGAGGCTTCACTCCGCATTTGGATGACTTGCACTTATGCCTTCTGCCAGATGAGGATGCAGCAAGAGGGTCCTCACCAAATGCTCCCTAAACCAAATGCTGGCACCTTGATCGTGGACTTCCCAGTCACCTCCAGAACGGTGAGAAATAAAATTCTATTCCTTATAAATTACCCAGTCTCAAGTATTCTGTCATTACAGCACAGAACAGACTGAAACAGGAGGAAAAAAGGAATAACCATCTCAGTCATTCTCCAAATCACCCCACAGAAAAGATGAAAAATGCATTCCCACTGTGATGAGTGGGGGGGAGAGAAAAGTCAATCCCAAAGTCTTAATTTCACTGAAATCATCCACTAAATCAGGATCCAAGTGGCTTTGGTCACCTCAAACAGAACTCTGACAAAGGAAGATGAGAAAACAGGGGTTTGAAAAGCCAAACATTTTAAATTTATAAAAGAAACTACCTTCCACAATGTTTAGGTACAACTAAGATATTAGGCAAATAGCTACCATGTTGGGTAGGTAGAGAACCTCATTTAAACAATATGAAAATAGCATAAAAATTTGAAATTAAAGAATGAATTATTGTAAATAGCAAGGAGGGTGGCAATCTTGCAAATGAATCAAGGAGTTGGCATGTGAATAAGGATGTGAATAGATCCTAAGGTAGATGTTTTCGAGACAATATGGGTTTGAAAAAAAAAAAAAAAAAACAACTTCTAGCTCCCAGTCTTCTGTATCTTTTAATTCACTGTTTCTGGTCAGGGTTTGGTAAGGGCTCTAGCCAGCGTTATTTCATTAAGAACATATAGAGTTTAGGAGTCTAGAAAAAGGCCAATTTTAAGGGCTCAAAGAGCAACATTATTATTAATGAATAATGTGACCTTCAGGAAATCTGATACCATAGTTCCAATAATGTTCTTGCTTCAAGTCACTATATTCAAAACCCCTATCGGGAAATATGGGAAAGTCGGTGTCTCATTCAGAACAAAAACTAACTCTGTCTAACTACAGTAAGGCAAACTCTTGGTACCAACCAACAGAGTCAACTTGCCACCCCTGGCACACAGCTCTATTCCTATCACATGACTTCCTGCATGCTGCCCTTCCTTTCTCCATCCCAATTACACCTCCCAGCCAGATACACAAGACACATTTGCTGGTGAACTCCACTCCTCCCAGCTCTCTATGCATTTCCACTCAACTACCTCTACTGCCTTCAGTTATGCTTTACTTACTCAGTTCCTTCACCATTGTCTTCTGAAAAATTGTCTTTTATCTGTGTTTGTTGTGAAACCTTAATCTGTCAGAATCTCCCAGAAGGTCATTACCAGTTGCCAGGGTGTTTATTTGGCATTCTCTAAGTCATCCTTTGAGGATTCAAAGTGAAGTCACCCAAAAGGCATATGTGACTGCATCAAATTTAAGGCACTAACTTCCACCTCTAGAATCAATTCACCAAGACGCAGTGCTATGATTCAAGTTGGAAGTTCGGGAAGCTCTGCTTTAGCTAAAAGCTGCAACAACAGATGGTAATTGAAGAAATAAAATACAACAAAGGTGTGGTTACTATTGCTATAGTATTTATTCATGCCTCAGCACAGCCAAGAAAGGCCAGTACCTTTCAAACTAGGGTGTGAAGGTTGCCAATATCCTATCTGCCTCTGTCTCTTATAAGTCATTTATTTTCATACCTTAACAGAACAATTACCTTAATCTTTACAATTTGGCATCACAAATGAGGAAATAAATCAGTACTTATTTCTGTTTTTGCTGGGCAAATTGCTTTAATGCCTAACAGTAGGCCAACTGGGGAAGACAAGACCCCAAGCCCCAGCCTTTCTCCTGATGCCCTGGGATCCGTGTGTCTAGGCCAGTCCCATGCCTACCCCAAGCCCTGAGGCTCACAAGGGCCAGAGAAGAGTGGGAAAGAAGGTTGGATGGTTGTAGCTCAGCCCCAAGAGTTCAGGGAGGAAAAAGCACGGGCTAGTTGAATTTGGCCTTGGAAAAATCCATCTCCAGATGCTGATCCATGAACTTCTTCAGAATCTCCTGTTTCTTCTGTTCGTCTGAGATTGGCAGCCCCATGGACTTCTGTCTCTGGTCATACATCATCTTTTCCACCATGCTGCGAGTCTCATTGTCCAGGTCTGACAGCTTGGAATTCTCAGGGTTAATCATCTTGGTATTGATCTTAGGGTCACTGGACACCAAGCAGCTCCACCACTCCATCTTATTGATCTTCTCAAGATGCACAGTCACCACCTTGCCATCCTCAATGAGCCACGAGCTCTCCCCTACCTTCACTTCGTTGTAGAGCTCCCCATCGATGATTGCTGGCTGCCCCTTGAGCCCCACCCGGAGGTGCTGCCCCTGGATGTCCACCACCATGTCCTTCCCTTTCAGCCGGAAGTTTACACGGAAAGGGACCACCAGGTCCAGCTCCGACAGGCTCTGGGTCCAGCAGTAATTGGGCAGGTCTGCCCCGTTGCCTAGGTTGGGCTTCAGTTTTCCTTTGTCCTCCTCATCTTCCTCCTTCTTCTCCTGCTTTCCTGGGGAGTCAAGGCTGCCGTTCTTGAGCTGGGCCTCATGATTCTCTGCATCCTTTTTCTGGTCAATCTCTAGCTGCAGCCTCTCTGCCTGTCTGCCTTTATCTGGGGCCCCGAGGTCTCTGACTTGGCTTCCTTGGCCAGCCCGGCCACCCGCTCCACCTTCTCCCGGGTTCTCTTCTCCCACCGGGCCTTCTGTGCCAGCTGATTGTCGTGGCTGAAAGTCTGTATGATAAGCTTCTTTGCCATCCCCTCTTCTCCTGCAGTGAAAAAGTCTGTTTTGCGTCGAAGGAAGCTGAAGAAAGTGTTCACAAGCTCCTGCACGCCGCCCTCGTGCTGCTGAGCCATGGCCAGCAACATGCCATCGAACCGCTCCTCCTCCTGCTCTCCGCCCATCGCGCCGGCTCGGATCCACGTCCTGAGGTCTGCGCTCTAGTCCTGTGCTCTCTCCACTACTTCGGGTCACGCCGGGCCCAACAACTCTAGTCTAAATCAGTCCTTATTTCTAAAAGGTACATAAGAATTCGGAGTTAAAGATCTAATTATCTGAAGACAAAGTATCTCCCACTGCCATAAACTGAATGTGTCTCCTCAAAATTCATAGGTTGAAACCTAACCCCTAAATGTAATGGTTTTAGGAGATGGGGCTCTTGGGAGGTGATTAGATCATGAAGGCGGAGTCCTCGTAAATGCGATTAGTGCCCCTAAAAAAGAGGTCCCAGAGAGCTTACTTATCCTTTCTGCTATATGAAGATACAGCAGAAGGATGGCTGTCTCCAAACCAGGAGGCAGGTCCTCCCCTCAAATTTGCTGATGCCTTGATCTTGGACTTCTCAGTCTCCAGAACCATGAGAAATAAGTTTCTGTTCTTTAGAAGCTACCTAATTTATAGTACTCTGTTACTGTACAGCAGCCCAAATGGACTAAGACACCCTAACACTGTGTTAGGCTTTATAGAAAAAAAAAATGCTCCTTTCATTTGCAGCACCCTCCCTGTTAAGTCCAAATTGAAAAACAGCATTTAGATTTCAACCAAAAAGAAGCCTTGACATTAATACTTTTACTCATGACTCCATTTATCTGGTATTTATTGCCTCATCCTGCTAGCCACCTTAAATTTTATATTTTTAACAATCATTGTTTTTAGTGAGGACTGAGGTGACTGCTTTCATTTAAACAGTCATGAGTTCTATAAACAAAAAGTAGACAGTCATAGACATCCACAGATGTGACCTCAGTAATTTTTAATCACTGGTTCTAATGTCACTTTAGTTGATGAATTTCTCTTAAAAAGAGACACTAACTTCTTTTTGAAAACTTGTGCACAAACTATCAATCAGAAGGTCCTGCAATAGTATTAGAAAATCACCAATTAAAAGAAGAATCTGTGGTGACATTAGGCACTTGAATAATTAAGCTGTGATTAGAGATAGGCTTCTAATTTAGGCAGAATATGGTTGATATGGTTTGGCTGTGTCCCCACCCAAATGTCATCTTGAATTGTAGTTCCCATAATCCCCACATGTCATGGGAGGGACTCGGTGGAAGGTAATTGAATCACGGGGGTAGTTAGGCTCATGCTGTTCTCAAGATAGTGAGTTCTCATGAGATCTGATGGTTTCGTAAGGGCTTTTCTCCCATTCCGTTCATACTTCTCCTTGCTGCCGACACGTGAAGAAGGACGCGTTTGCTTCCCCTTCCACCATGATTGTAAATTTCCTGAGGCCTCCCCAGCCATGCTGAACTGTGAGTCAATTAAACCTCTTCCTTTATAAATACCCAGTCTAACGTATGTCTTTATTAGCAATGTGAGAACAGACCAATACAATGGTAAAGATAACACTTCTTTGATTGCTTTTCTTGAGTCATTTAAACTGATCCTTAGTACACAAGTATTTTCCTCCTCTGTGAGAGCTAACCTCAATTATGTCTCTTCAGATCTAAACTACATTACCCGGAAGTACAAAATAAACAGAGCAAGAATTTCTAAGAATCTTTGTCATCTAAGAACAGGTGATAAAGAAGAATCTTCCTAATTCTTATTATATTAGCCTAATTATCAGCAGGACAATGAAGCCTTTCAACAAAGGACAGAAAAAACTGTGGAAAGAAAACGTGCAGCCAAGCGCAGTGGCCCACACCTGTAATCCCAGTGCTTCGGTAGGTTGAGTCAAGAGGATTGTGTGAGCCCAGGAGATCAAGACCAGCCTGGGCAACATAGTGAGACACCACCTCTACAAAAAAAAAAAAAATTTTTTTTTTAATTAGCCAGGTGTGATGACACCTAGCTACTCAGGAGGCTGAGGCAGGAGGATGGCTTGAGTCCAAAAGTTTGAGGCTGCAGTCAGCTATCATTGCACTACTGCACTCTAGCCCGTATGACAGAGAGACCCCAACTCCAATTCCCACCAAAAAAAAAGAAAAAACACACACATTTAAAAAACAACCAGACATGGAGTTCAAACTCAAATGTGGAAATGAACTGAACCTCAGCTACTGAATGCAGTATAAGCAGGGCTTGATAAGTCACAACTTTCCCCTTGATAAGTCATAATTATTTTATAACTTTTATATTTCATACATTTATAGAAAAAAATTAAATTTGTTTTGTGACTGATAGTTCTTAATTACAACATATTAGTTTTAATCTAATCACACTCCGTACTCAACAAGTCAGCAGGCAATTAAATCTAACAAACATTTATCAAAGGCCTACTACAAAGCAAGGCCCTGGGCTGGTGTCTGCCATTAAGAAAAGCATCTGTCTACTGTGGAAACAGGCTAGCCACTCATCCAATAGGGATAACACAAAATTATCATTATCAGCCACAATGTGGTCTGTTAAACTAAAACTTTACTGGGAGCTTGGCAACAGCACACTATAGATAACAGTTGGGCTTTGGTTTTTAACCCAGATCTTCTACAGTATTTATATACTGTGGTTGCCTACAAAGCAATGAAGAGCTCATTTCTACTTCCCAGGAATGGTTTAATCCCAAGACAGGCCACACTTTTTCATGAAATATCTATGAACCAGTCCTCCCTCATGACCTTTTTCTTTTAAATCATCATTCCTCAAGCGTCTTGGAGGAATGGTGAAGGGCAAGGGGAATCTGGGAAGAAAAAACAGCAAACTTTGCCCAGGGGAGTCTCCTAGACTCCTAAAGCAACAAAGGTTTTCTCTACCTTTGTTGAGATAAATTAAAACCATTTTGAAAGCAGAATCTACTTCTTCCGGCATTGCTACTTAACATATTTAATTAGACTATGGTGAATAACACATAAATGGGGAGGCGGGATGCCAAAAGACAGTGATGACTTGTTTCTGAGTTTATCCAGGTCAATGAAAAACACCTCTGTGTAAGAAATCTCCAGGCCTCAAGGTAATAACATCAAATCAGACAGACAATGAATTGCTGAAAATGTAGGGTCATGAAAGTCCTAGAGGGAAAACAGATAGACACATATAAGGTGAAAAGCATGAAAATCAAAGTAAAATAACAAGCAAAGAAAGCTGCTAATGAAAAAGTTGTCAGCTAAAGCCTAGAGTTTGAATGAGTTAATGAATGGTCAAAGGACTTACCACAGGCACTGACTCCTCCAAGTGAAGAGGTATTTAAAATCACATAACTTATTAACTGCTATGGTAAAACATTCTCAGGGAGAAGATGACAAGACAAGTGGCAACAGCAGAAATTCCCTTTAAAAAATCAGGGTCTCTATAAGAGCTTTACATTGAATGAGGTCTGGACCACACTCCCACTTACAGATCAAGAATCCAAGTGTGCACCCGGGATTACAGTGAAAGGATAAGACTCTGTACTTTGTAATTCTCCCTTTCACTGAGAGCACTGGGGATTGCATTCTACAATAGCCCCCTTGAAGGTGCTGGGAATAAATCTCAGCAGGGTATGCTAGGAGAAAGAGAAGCTCATTTCATTTCCTCATTTGCCCAAAACTAACCTATCTTCTATTGTCACCAACTATGGAACCTTTCCTGATACTCTTATGTTTAAAGCTCCCAAGAAAGGCAGGGAACCTGATGCAGAAGCACAGATGTTGTCTGCAGGACTGAGTATATCCCTCTTAGACTTAGGAAGCAGACAGCATATCCAGGAGAGGTGAAAGAAAGATAAATCAAGGCATTGCTGACAGCCTTTCATTACAATTTGGCAGCCAACCTGCTCAAGCATTTTCACATGGGTAAGTTGATCATCTGAAAAAAAATCCATGGCATAAGAACACAATTTAAGCCTTCAGAGCAAACATTTTGATAGTTCTCATAAGTCATTTAAATAAAAACTTCATGAACAAACCACAAAGCATGTGACTAAAACCCCAATTAATAGTAGAAAGCAGTACACACTGACAGATTTCTATGGCAAACTTCTGCAGAGACCAAATCAGTTGAATGCAACTTTGCCCCTCAAGCAGATATACTTTTGCCTTATCTTACCTTTTCTCAGCCAAGATTTCCCCAGCTCCCTAATTCAAACTCACCAGGACAGTGAGCATTATATGACCATCTGGTCGACAACATATTACACATTCATAGGGCATGGTTCTAATCACGGCACAGTTTAAACCACCACCATAGATCTCAGCAAGGTCCTCCTAAATGGAAGAATTTTATATTTTGCCTTTTAAATGGTTTTTATTGGAAGCATATTTGTGAGAACACTAAGACGTAAAAGGCCTCTGAGCCTGAGCTCATTTTCCCATCCCCAGCCTCCCTCCCTACAAACTGCCTTCTATGAATGGGATTCTATTTCATCTTTACTCTCTGCAAGAGAATGTACCTGCCAACTGATGTCAAGAACAAATCACTTCATCCCCAGTTTCGATGCTGCTGCATTCTTGGGCACTTGTGTTCTTTTAGCACCAAAAAGAGTTGCTTCATGGTTCAAGGGTCACTGTTAACTCTTTTAACAAATAGGCATTAACAGAATACAGGAGCAATCCCACACTTTGTGGGGAGGGTGTCTCCCTGGAGCCTCTAGATTAAAATTCTCATTACTAAAGTCACCAAGGAGTTAGACAAAGATAGGGAGCATGGCCTCGGAGTTTCTTGCTAAAAAAGAATTCTTCCTCTAATACATTTATGGATATTAGCTACACTAACATGGGTTAGTTTACTAGGTTAGTTGATTACTGTGTTAGGATGAGGAGACAAAGTGTCATTGAAGAAACAAGAAACCAAATCTAGAGTGTAGCTATTTTTTCTTACTTTAATGAAGCAGCAGAGAGTTTGAAAAAGATTTTAGAAACGTGTGCAGGCTCTGGACCAGGGAAGGCCAATCTTAGCTGAAAATATAATGGCCCCCACCAGAAGCCCTTGCATTCCAAAATTCAGATACAAGCTTCCTAAATCCCAAGATGCCCCAGGATGAAGGCGCACTCAAGGGACCCAGGCAGGCTGCCTCCACTGAACCGAGGAGAAGAGTCCACCTTTCAAGCACGATGTTTGAAGGATGCTCTTTCACTCAGGAAGCCTGAGGGAAGGCTTTGCTTCTGTCCTGGGAAACCAATCACTGATCAAGAGTACTCTCCTGCCCTCTCACTAATGTCAGCCATCAAATGGACCATATCTCCCCACCAGCTGAGTTCTACCCACAGTCATTCCATGGCCTAGCCCCTATCCTGGCCAGCAATATCGATGTCTACACCCCAATGCCCAGGCCCTACCTCAACATCCCAAACTTCTGCTAGACCACAGGGGCTGGTAATCCAGACTCTGGAGTGAGGACAAGTCATGAGAAAAATAAATTTAGGAAAATGTGTAAGTACAACTTAAGTAACAAACAGAAAATGGACTTTGGAGTCAGCCAATCCTTGTTTCCAACCTGAGTACTGCCACTATCACAAAACTTTGAGCAAATTATTTTACTCCTCAGAATCAGTTTCCTCACCTGGAAAATAAAGATAAAATGCCTACTTTGCAGAGCTGCTACGAAAACTTAAAAAGATAAATATACACAAAGTAAGCATTCACAAAAATAGAAATCAATACCCTATTTCTTTATTATATGAAAGGGTAATTCCAAATGCATATAAGCCAAGAGTGAGATTTTTACTAGACATAGTTCCTACAGTACAACTCTAGAAATGTAAGGGATGAGATCTGTATAACATATGGTAGCTCCCCAGATGTAGAAAAATATGCACATACAGTTTTACAAATTCCTAGTTTATGATGTCAAAATTCTCTAAATAAAACAGATGCTAATCATCAAACTGATGATGACTTCTCCTCATTTCTTTGCCATAAATAAAACCCTTGAAGACTAAATAAATGCCTTAACTTATTTCCTCTAAGTTTGGGGATGGCTAGGGTTTCCTCAATGGCTTTCTTTGGTTTCCAGGGTTAGCTGCTGTGGTAATTTTCAAAGAGCACCAAGTTTGCTATAACCATTCTGGATATATAATAACAGTAAGATATTATTATAATTATGCCATTATTAATAGCAGCTACCTTTTATGAAATATTTTTTGGTTTTTTGATTTGAAACAGGGTCTTATTATGTTGCCCAGGCTGGTCTCGAACTCCTGTGTTCAAACTATCATCCCATCTCAGCCTCCCTAGTAGCTAGGACTACAGACATGCACCACCACGCCAGGTTACTCTTACGGAACATTTTAAGCTTACAACATGCTACATGAAGACAATTAGCATTACAATAAACAATTAAACTCCAAAAAAGAAAACTAAATTTATCTTATAAAAGGAAATCACAAAACCCAAAGTTAGAGCCTAATACACTATTGCCCCCTAAACTACAAAAAAAAAAAAAAAAAAAAAGGATTAACGGAAGTGTCCACACCTAAAAAGTTTCCACTAGATTCCCAGAGCCCTCTTGCTTTATCCTCCTTCCAGTGTTTCCAAGGGAGGTAAATTTAATATCCGCATCTCTCCCAGAAATTAAAACTACCTCTCTCTCTGCCCTATTTGTTGGTCTCTCCCTCACCACACTCCTATTTTTTTAAGCCAGTAACTTAGTCGTTTATGATCATTATCAAGTATTATATACTGAACATAATTGTATGTGTTCTCCATTTGCAGCACAGTAGGTTTGTTTACACCAACATCACTACAAACACGTGGGTAATGCATTGCCCTATGTTAAGGCAGCTACAATGTCACTGGATGATAGGAATTCTCAGCTCTATTATAATCTTGTGAGACCAGTTTGTTGTCCGTTTTTGATGGAAATGTTATGTGGCTCATGACTGTATTATTTATTGAATATTATGGACACACTTCTATTTTTTCCCCAGCTTTATTGAGGTATGACTGACAAGAATTATATATATAATAAAGGTGTATGTGATTTTTTTATATAAGTTTATATTGTGAAATGATTACCACAATCAAGCTAATTAGCATTATCTATCACCTCACATCGTTTCCTTTCTTGGTGTGGGTGTGTATGGTGAGACCACTTGAGATCTACTCTCATTGCAAATTTCAAGTCCATAATACATTAAGAGCCCTAAGAATGCAGTTAAAAGTTGAAGCCAAAAGTGACTCTTTAGCCTCTATTAGCATCAGGATCTTTGTGGAGGCAAGTGGACCCTCTCTCAGCCCTTCTTGAGATCTGCTTTTCTCACCAGGAAGCACTGAAAATTAGAAAAGACCTCCCACACTTGATTATCAAAAACCTCCCAGAATCTTCTACTGAAGAAGCCAGGCTCTCTCACATCAGAACACCCAGAGGAAACAAAGACACATGCGCTTTCCTTAATGACGCCTCTCCTTTGACCCAATGAAGAGAAATCTACCACAGAAGCAAATGTAATTGGCTGGCACAAAAACTTCCGCACAAAAATGGAGCACAATCTACGAGTGAGTTGGTTCTTTGGGTACCATTAATGTGTGTTTCTATTAAGTATGTAACTTTCAAAAGTATATTTACCTCCTATTAAGTGCTTCAAAAAGTGAAACAACATGGTTAAAACCGGTATGTAAAGATTCTAGGCCAGGCATGGTGGCTCACTCCTGTAATCCCAGCACTTTGGGAGGCTGAGGCGGGCAAATCACTTGAACCCAGAAGTTCAAGACCTGCCTGGGCAACATGGTGAAACCCCATCTCTACAAAAAATACAAAAATTAGCTGGGTGTGATGATGCCTGCTTGTAGTTCCAGCCTCCTCAGGAGGCTGAGGTGGGCAGATCTATTGAGCCTGGCTGCAGTGAGCCGTGATTGTGCTACTGTACTCCAGCCTGGGCTGGAGGAGATCCTATCTCAAAAAGAAAAAAAAAAAAGTTCTGCTTTGCTGTTTGTTATGCTAACTAATCAAGAGTTATCGAGTTTCTTAAAGCAGTACATTTAAAGCATTACTGCATTTTAATTTCTTTTTAAAAACTGCCACAGCAACTGCGTTTAGTACAGCAGGCAGGAAGTTCACAGGAACAATTCTCTATTTCCCTGTGAGATGCATTTTTAAAAGTAAAACAAACCATCATTTCAGAATTCAGAATAAAGACTGTGACTCTCATGACCCCACACAGAGCGGAAACCCTAACGACAGGAATATTAAACCATTTTCCATTCTGCTCTTTTTGATGAAGAGAAGAACTTCAAATATGATCTCTGCTGTGAACAAAGATATTCAGACAAGAAGCTCCTCTCATTGTCTCCCCAACAGTTAGCATCCCTGGAGATCTGGCTTTCCCTTCTGGAAGAGGGCACAGGCAAGTATATTTATGAGCTCGTATGTCACAAACTCGTCTGTTCAGGGAAACCCTGGACACCAAGCTGAAACGTATGAAATATGCCATGGCAGAAATTTTCAAAAGTCTTTTGCTCTCATAATTTCGACCTCTCAGGCTATCCATCTTCTGTCAACTAAAACCTTAGGTAATACCAGTCTCACATGCTTAAATAAATCCCAAAGCAATACAAAAAATTAGTCAGGTGTTACCAAACTCTGATAACAAATATGTTGTGATCAATATCCTTTCATGAAATTTGGTCAGATTAACAACTCTTGGTTTCAAAACAAGGCTTCTTTTACATCATTTGAAATAAAGAGAAGAAAAGGAAACTCTACTTATTAGGCACCTAGCAAAAGCCATTCCTAGGCATTATATACATTTTCCTACTTAGTTATACTAAGTTCCCATTTTGCTTATGAGAAAATGAAGGCTCAGTTTAAGTCACCTGCCATAAACTGAACAGCCATAAACTGATACAGCCAGTCTCATCTCACTGTCGCCACCCTGCATGCTCTTAAACTAGAACGGTCTTACAGACACTAGCTATAATGCAGCTCTAGCCCAACAGGCACTGTATAAAACAAACTCCACAGACACCTGCAAACCAACTATACTGGGTGTATAGAGCAGGAAAATAAGAGTTTTCTCAACTGATTCAAATGTTAGATTACATATGCTAGCTATGAGCTCAGCCTAGAAGGGTAGGTACAGCGAGTAATCCATTAGGAGACAGCCAAAGCCAAGGAAAAAGGGCATTCTAGCTAAAGGGGAAAACCTGAGCCAAGGTGCAGAGGTGGGAGAACCCAGAGTGTATGGAGAACAATGAGCAACTCCTTCACTTCGCTCTGGCTTCTCAGTGCCAAAATTGTGAAACATTTTAAGGACACAAGCATGGCAAGAACTTGTAAGAACTGACTACACACAGTTAGGAATGTGTGGATACAACACTGCTGTCTTAATAAAGATCAGAAAGAGATAAATCATTTGAAGGTATTTTCACTTTTTACAAAATATTTCAGTTGCTACGTCACCACAAGCAAAAAGCTTTCCAAGGCTCACCAAGGTTAACAATAGGCTGCCTTTGGTTCAAACACATTTGTAAAAAATGTTTCATTCAATCAGTACAGTATTTATTGAATGCTTTCTATGTGCCAGGTACCATGCTAGATGCAAGAGATACAAAGATGAACTAACCTTATTCTTGGCTGCTCAAAGCCCAGGATGAGATGGCCACAAAAATTAAAATGTGATGAATGCTATAAAAATAGCAGTAGAGAATGACTAGTATCAATTAACCAGATAGATCCATGTTGAAAGAGTAGCCCCAGAAACTATTCACTATTCCGTCCACATCTAGGCCTATCTTTGATATAACTGAATCTATTTCTAGTTTATATGTTTGAAGGCACCTTAATAAATTCTCACCCACCTCTCCATTTCTACAGCTTTCTATAGCTTTCACTACTATTTTCTATGACTACAGAAAGCAGACTACAGAAATCAGTCTCATAGAAACTGGTAGCGGAAGTTAACTTAAAATTTTGAAGTCGGAACACATTATAATCTCCCAAGCATTTAAGACTTCAGTTTCTAATAAGTTTTCTTAGCATTGTGTTTGCCATACATAATAAAGCTATTGACAGGGCACCCACCCAACCTGGGAACAGAGTATTCTTTCATAAACTGATTCAAACCATTCCCTTCTTCATGTTGAGCAGCTTGTTAAAGTATTTAGGTTTTAAAATTAGGGAAAAATGATATATATAACACTCTTAAAAACATTAGGTACTTGCAAATTTAAGATCAAATTAAAGCAAAATTGAAGGATGAAGAAATAATGGAATAGTAACCACATTCTGACATAACACTTTGCTTAGTTAAACACTGGCCTATATCAAGGCAGCCCAGATCTCTGAGACCAGTTAAAAGCAATAATACAATTTGAAAATAAATTTTATTCACCACAAACCACCGTAGTTTTAAAGGAAGTTACTGCAAGAAGACTATCCAGCAGTCATATCAGAGGTCACTAACGAAGTAGAAGCACTCATGATGAGGTGGCCAATAAACCAACACAGAGCTGTAACTTTGCATCCCTAGCTTCCACATCCCAGCACCTGTCCTAAAGCAGGAAAGTGGCTTCTGACTTAAATGGCACCTGCCTAGTACACAGACACACTGCACGCACCTTTAAAGTATCATTAGCGGTCTCTAAACAAATCTCCCTTCCTCATCAGCAGGGCTCAGCATCTCTGCTGATCTCAAAGTTTTCAAAGAATATTAGAAAATACACAGTACAGTCATCAGAAAGATACCTGGCATTCACCTCCTTCCTCTGCCCTGGCTTTTTTTTTTTTTTTTTTTTTTTTTTGCAGCTGGTCTATTCAGTCCTTCTCTAGCCATCCCTCTCAATATCTGGAGTAGGTTCTCCTACTTACCTGCTTCAAGGCACACCTCTTCTCACTCTTAAAAAATCCCGCCAGAAAACTCACGCCATGAAGAATCTCATTCATAGCCCACACCTCCATCTATCTCATTAAAAAGGATGCTAATAATACAGATGTTGTGTAACAATGAGCTGTCTACACAGCATTTCACACTTAACCTTCTATCAAACCCATCAACAAAGCAATAAGGCAGACAGGTCATGGACCACTTCACATGAGCCCCTCCTAAGCCAAAACCACATTGTGATCATTTTTTGTATCCTAAGCAAATCACACAGACAATGCTTAATAAGTAAGAAAGCAAGAAGGGGATTTGGAAGAGAATAAACATTAGTTCTTCTGATTGCTAACTCAATGCTCTGAAAACAAAATACAGAGGAAAAACAGAAAAGTAAGTTAAACATGAAATCAAGTACCTATTACAAATATGTAGTCATTTGTATCCAGATGAAGCCAGCCAAACGGATTTATTTAATTTAAGTCTACATTGGGATCTAAAGATATAGTTCTTCCAGAGCTAAGAAAACCACTGGTATTCTGAAAATAAAGTATAAATGCTGTTAGCTTATATTCCCATAAATAGAAAAGGATATTAAAGTGTTAAACATTACTTAGAGCAAACTCAATTCAAACATATTCTTTCTAAATGGTCCTACTTAAAAAGATACTTGCATATAAACTTTCACCTCAAAGCAAGGCAGTCCCTATGACTTGGTAGAGGTCTGGAGAGCTGGTGAGATTGTTTGCAGAGTAAACACAGGCTGAATTTATATTTTAACTTTTTTTTTTTTTTTTTTTCAAGACAGGGTCTCACTCTGTCACCTAGGCTGGAGTGCAGTGGTGCAATCTTGGCTCACTGCAACCTCCACCTCCCGGGTTCAAGCAATCCTACCACCTCAGCCTCCCTAGTAGCTGGGACTACAGGCATGTGCCACCATGCCTGGCTAATTTTTGTGTTCTTAGTAGAGGCAGGGTGGTCTTGAACTTCCGGGTTCAAGCGATTTGCCTACCTCAGCCTCCCAAAGTGCTGGGATTACAGGCGTAAGCCACCACACCCAGCCCATCTTTTATCTTTAAGTTCAAAACTTTAAGACTACTTGAGAAACAAGGGCCTCAGTGGGTCATTACTGCAAGTATGATTATTTTAGCAATCCCAAGTAATGGGATGCCAGAGTTCTAGCCACAGACAGATTCATACAAATGCAAGAATAAGCTTCTACTGAAACTCCCACTTTTTAGAGTCTTATTCCATAGAGCAGTACTGTACAATGGAACTTTCTGTGATGACATACATGTTCTATCCTATATACTGTCCAATGGAGTAGCTACTAGCCACATGTAGCTCTTGTGTACCTGTAATGTAGCTAGAGCAACTGAGAAACTGAATTTTTTATTTACATTTAATTTACGTTTCAATAGCTACATATGACTGGTTGCTACCATATTGAACAGGAAACTATAGAAGATAAAAAATAAATGCATTAACTTTCAACAAGAACTCTTTAAAAGAGGATAGACTAACTCCTACATGTCTAAAAATAAGATGAGATGCTTATCTGAGAATTTTGACACTAAAAAACTTTCAAGATCTAGTGAAGGAAAGGGAAGTCTTGTCCAAAATCAAATAGATACCAACAGTTACAAGGGAGGCTTGCCCTCCATCCCAGTCTCTCTGTAAGATGGCAGTTTGCCTAGAAGTTCAGCAATGAACCAGATGAAAAAGGAAATGAATAATCACAAATAATCTACAGTATGTCAGCCACTGTGACAGGTTCTTTACAATTGCTGTCATATTTCATCCCTGCCACAATTCTGACAAGTGGTCATCACTATTCCTATTCAGTAACTCGAGAGAGATTGGTAAAACCAGGCTTCCATCCCAGATCTATGTGACTCCACAAAGCAGGTTGTTTCCACACCACCATACTGCCTCCTTCCAGGTGAACCCTTCACAGGGTCTCTATCAGTCCTCTAATCCTCAGAGTTTTGTTGTTTGCTTGATCACATGCCCTCAAAGTTTCCAAGATCTGATTACCTCCACTGAGAATGCTGGAAACTAACTGGTGTCCTAACCAAACACAAGATAACCCTTAATTCCCAAGAAAGCAATGACAAGGTGGGTTTCTCTGGCTTTTTCTTACAGATCTTACTACCTTCAGCCCTAAAAAGCAGGGCTGCCTCTGAGAATAAAGAAGAGCCAAAGGAAAAGCTTAGCACAGCCAACATTTACTAATTAATCCTCACCACTGGTGTCTGGAGGAGGTCACAATTTTCAGTAGTAACATCACCCTTTCCCTACAGGTAAGGCAGCTGGCAAGTTGCCCAAGGCCACACTGCACAGCTGTGCTTCAACTCTCACATTCCTGAGACATCCCTGGCTCAAAGCTCCTTCCTCGGCCCCAATGAGTCCATCCAACTCCTTGCAGAATTCTCCAGGGAGGATATTTCTGACTTCAGAGGAATCCTCCTCTCCTCCAAGAGTATTATAGGTACATGCAGTGTTCGAAGGATCCCAGTCCTAGAAGCCTCAGCTAGCAACAAAGTAAGAGTAGCTCCTAAGAAAACATATGTCCACACAAAAACGTGTATAAGAATGCTCACAGCAGCATTATTCATAATAGCCAGAAAGTAGAAGCAATTTAAACGTCCACCAACTGATGAATCGAAAAATAAAATGCTGTATATTCCACAGAATTTACTAAAAATCAATTATAGTGGCTGGACACAGTGGCTCATGCCTGTAATCCCAGCACTTTGGGAGGTCAAGGGGGGTTGGATCACTTGAGGCCAGGAGTTCAAGGCCAGCCTGGCCAACATGGTGAAACCCCGTCTCTACTAAAAATACAAAACTTAGCTGGGCGTGGTGGTACATGCCTGTAATCCCAGCTACTTGGGAGGCTGAGGCACGAGAATCGCTTGAACCTGGGAAGCAGAGGTTGGGGTGAGCAGAGATCACATCACTGCACTACAGCCTGGAGGACTAAGCAAGACTGTCTCAAAAAATAATAATAATTATATATATATATATATATAGAGAGAGAGAGAGAGAGAGAGAGAGAGCTTCAATGGCTAAATGTTATAGTACTTGAAATGTCTATAAAGTCACATTTTAAAAAAATAAGAAAACTCCTAGATAATCATAACAAAGCAATGGCAGGAGGATACAACTGTCCATTTGTATTCCAAATGAGAAAGCCAACTGATGATGTTTTCAAGGAGTCTTCCCTAAATTCAGCTGCAGATTTCACTGTCTTTCATTGTAATCTTAAAACAGAAAAGCCAAGATCATCTCCAACTTATAGAAATTTTAGATGATCTACACAGAGTAGAATACTATATGTATAGATGAGGTATCAGAAAGACCTTTTAGTAAGTCTTGTCATCTGAATTAAACTTAACATTGCTACCATTTTTTCATCCTAAATATGAATGAATTAGACCAGATCAAAATCAAGGAGTACTTGTTCTATGCCAACTCCTATTTTAAGCACATACAATCTTATGTAACTTAATCCTCATAACCTACCAGGCATGAGCATTCAAGGTTGGCAGGGCCCTACTCCAGGCCTCCGCCATGCCTTCAGAGGCTGAAGAGCTACTGCTGGTAGAGAAGGTGCTCAGCAGGGAATGGTGGACAGGGCTTGAATCCTCTGGCCCCCAACACCTGTTCAGTGCTCCAGAGAGGATACTGCTTCTGTAACTGCAAACTCTTACAGTTTCAATGATCTTCCTCCATGAAAAGGTAGTAGTATTCTTAGGTGCTAAAAGTAAACTCAATCCTCTAAGGCTTTAACTCACTGGAGAAACAATAAATGTAAAAAATTAAAATATATGTATGTGAAATATACATGTATGTGAAAAACTGTAGTAACAACATCTCACCAATGGGAAACTATAGTTCCAGTTCAATAGCACCAGTGAAAAGCAGTGACCACCTCAGTCTAAATGCATCAGGACAGCCTAGCAGGGAGCAGGGACAAAATACATACCACGAACTCACACCTCTCTGATTTCCACTGGCTGAGCCCACCTGAAAGTGAGACCTAGGGACCCTCTCATATAGTCTATAAGGGTGAGCAGGATGGAGAGTGGTTCTAGGACCAAAGGGAAAATAATCTTCATGTGGGATCACAGGCCCATTAGACGATGATCTAGCAGCCAGTTGGCCTCATCTAAATGCATATTCAAATGGAAAGCATGTTTCACTAAATGCTGGTGACAGGGTTCCACAGAAAATCATTTGTAAAGCAGTTTCTCATAGTACCTCCCAGCTGGTCTATGTCTCTAGTTTTTCGGGTTTAATGCAGAATTTTTTTAAGCCATTAAAATTAAGACTTTTCCATAATCCGCGTCATTTTCATTTGATGTATACCTCTTTTTCAAACATCTTGACTGAAATAACCCACTGGTTCAATATCACCTTCCAAACACATATTTACAACTGACACAAGATTAGCAGTCACTTGTCTGGAGTTGTCAAGGTATTATCTGATCAAGAAAATCTGCGTGCTAAAGGCCACAATTAATGACATTCTTCTACACATTTGTAACAAAAATATTACCCAACCCTAATAACCATGACCCTCTCCCACAGGCCAAGCAGGATAGTTCATATCTCCCTTTTAGCACTTGAGAAAATAACACTCCCACCCCAGAGTGGTTATTCTTCCACTTTGGAATTTGGAATTTAGGGTGAAGGATTCCCCTTTGCAGCCTCTCTTTTAACGCTACACCTGTTATTAAGTCTCTTTATTCATTTGGGAACATTCATTTAATGATTATTACATACATAACTGAGATGTTTCCTACCCTTAAGAGCAGTCTGAAGGCGAAAAGTACCTAAAGGCAAAGCCTCCATATGCCTAGAATTACACAGATCAACCATAGTTTCAAATATTCTTTTCCTCTGCCCATATAACCAATCACAACATACAGGAAAATCTACTGTTTTGTATGCAAAGAACACCTCCTAGCCTCTTCTCAAAGCCAAAAAACCTTCAACCATTAATGTGTTCTGATTTCTAGTGCAAAAAAAAAATAGTAATAAATTATGCTTCATGAATCGAGTTGAACTCTTACATCCCAGATTTCTGAGAGTTTAAAAAAAAAAATACAGTCAGCCTTCTGTATCCATGGGTTCCACATCTGCGGATTCAACAAAGCAGGGATACAAAATATTCAGGAAAAAAAAAAAATTTCCACAAGGTTCCAGAAACCAAAACTTGAATTTGCCACATGCCAAGTACTACGTTGAATCCACAAGAATGAAGTGATGTGTAGACATTGCGTTAGGAATTATAGATAATCTATAGGTGATTTAAAGTATAAGGGCGGATGTGCATGGGTCAGATGCAAACAATATGCCACTTTATATCAGAGACTTGAACACCCATGGATTTTGGTATCCACAGGAGGTCCTGAGACCAATCCCCCAGAACCCAAGGGATGACTATAATCTCTATCCAGGGATTTCCTTCAAAATCTCATTGAACTAAAGTGCTTCAGAAACACCAAACCCAAATATACCCTTCTATCTACATTCTGGCACAAACTAAAACTCCCCCCAACTGTTCATGGAGAAAATATCCCAGTAACTAAACCAATCATCAGGGACCACCAGACTTCACCCATACCATTAAATGCCCAAAAAAACTTATTTTAAAAAACTGATTCTTAAAATCTCAAGTTAAAGAATTAACCTTGAATAGTCTCATAATATTTCATATCATTTATAAGAACAGTAACCAATTTTTAGCAAAATTTTAGACACAGAAGGGACAATCAAGATAACTTTGTTTAAACCCAGTAAACTGGTATAGGAAGAGATGAAATGATTAGTTCCAAGTTACACAACCTGTTAGTGTTAAGGCTGGAACTAGAACCCTGATCTCTGACATGGGTCCAGGACTGTTTGATTTCACCATGTTCCCTTATATGCCCCACCTAACCCAAAGACACGATAAGAACAGAGCACTCATCTTCCAACTCCCAGATACCTCTTCTTGGGGTCAGAATACTCTTCCTATTCCAAATCAGTATGTGCCTCTCAGATTTTTATCAGCCAACCAAAACAGAGAGCTAAAGTAGCCTTCAATGAAACCAGAGGAAGCTGCTCTGTCTCAGATTACTGGAACACGGGCTGTAATTAATAGCAATCCACTGAGAGGAACAGCCCTTGCTTTTAATTGGTATTAAACAGCCAATGTTCAGGCCGCCCAAAGGGAACTGCAGAGAAGTTCTCAGAAGTGCAAGGTCAGCCATACAGACCCTGCCAAGGTTAAAGCACAAAGGGGGAGTTCAAGGCCCTTCATGAGCACAATGCAGTGAAAACCCTCCATTAACACACAGAAAGCATCCCAAGAATAAATGGGTGAGATGAAGATGCATCACCAAGAGGATCTTTTCCCAGATGCAGTAACAAACTTTCTCCCAAAGAACCCTATGTCAAACTCTAAAAATAAACCAAATCCTCCCATGAACCATATAAAGAATGCACCTATGGTGCATGCTGTGCAATTTATGTAGCTATCTGAAGGCAGGCAACTAACCAAATTTCCAAAAGAACCTTCCATATAATCAACACATTAGGAAACATAAATCTGACACAAATGCTAAATTAGACTCTCCTTAGATGGACCTCTAACTATAATTTACCTACCTACAGAGTACTCTTAGTGCTCAACAAAGGTAACAGGCTAATAATGCATGCCAAATAGTACTTGTATTTATATCGACTAAAATACCTTTATTAGCAACGGAAAAATCCTTACCCTGAGATGTATGATTTCTCCCCACCAAATTGAGGACTCTTATCTTCCATATACTACACCCGACATGTGAGCTTAAAGAAGCTGTAGTGTCACCTGGCTCCATTTATTTTCTGTTGCTCATAATAAGATATCTGAAACTGGGTAATTTATAAAGAAAGGGAATTTATTTCTTGTAGTTATGGAGGCTGGGAAGTTCAAGGTGGAGGGCCCACATCTGGTGAGGGCTTTCTTGCTGGTGGGGACTTTCTACAGAGTCCTGAGGTGGTACAGGCCATCGCAAGGTGAGGGGGCTAAGTCTGCTAGCTCATGTCTCTCTTCCTCTTCCTAGAAAACCACCAGTCTCACTCCCATGATAACCCATTAATTCATGAATGGATCAATTCATGCATGAAGGCAAAACCCTCAGGACCCCACTTATCAATACCACCACATTAGGGATTACATTTCTTTCTTTTTTTTTTTTTTTTTTTTTGAGACAGAGTCTCACTCTGTCACCCAGGCTGGAGTGCAGTGGCGCAATCTCTGCTCACTGCAACCTCTGCCTCCCAGGTTCAAGCGATTCTCCTGCCTCAGCTTCCCAAGTAGCTGGGACTACAGGCACATGGCACCACGCCCAGCTAATTTTTGTACTTTTAGTAGAGATAGGGATTCACCATGTTGGCCAGGATGGTTTCAATCTCCTGAACTCATGATCCGCCCGCCTCAGCCTCCCAAAGTACTGGGATTACAGGCATGAGCCACCGCGCCCAGCAGGGATTACATTTCGACATGAGTTTTGGAAGGAACAAATATTCAAACCATAGCACTGACAACATTAGAGAAAGCAACTGAGATAAAAAGCCAATCAAGTGTCCTTTGTGGTACAACCAGCCTCCAATGATCCTAGCCAATTGATATTAATGCCCTTGTCCAGTCCCCCCATGATAAATAGGGCTGACTTGTGTTATCAGCAGAATATTGGAAAGTGATGGTAAAGAACTTCCTAAGCTAGGGAATAAAATCCACTGCAGTTTCCATCTTGCTGTCTCTCAGATTGCTCCCAGATGCCATGCTGTGTTAACATGCAGTCTGTAGAAACTCCTTTATGGAGTGGCACTTAGGCTTTATATCATTAGGCAACAGCAACTTACCAACTTAGGCTTCACATCATTAGGCAACAGCAACTTACCAACTACATCAGCGAGACACCTCTGAAGTAAATCCCCGTGGCCCGGTCAAGCCATCATATGATTGCGACCTCGTGAGAGGCCCTAAGGCAGAACCACCCAAATTCCTGACCCATAGACACTGGGAGATAATAAATATTTACCATAGTTTTAAGCCTCTAGCTTTGCAGTAGTTTGTTATTGTTTACACAACAAGAGATAACTATTATATCTTTCCTGATGAACTCAATCCTCAGGAAATAAAAGTGTGGCATTTCCTGTTTTGGGATGATTCTTTACTTTGTCCTTCACAAAGGTTCAAGTAACAGGACTCACCTTGATCAACTCTTCTCTGCAAAGAATGCATCATTCCTAAGGGACCAACACAGGTCCTATCATTAATGAAATACCACCTTGTTTATAGTATCAATAGATAACTGGAAGTCATTTCTGAAAATCTACTTCCAATCAACTCAATCAATGTAGTCCTCCTAATGGTAATAAAAGCTCATATTATTTGAAGGGATGCATGGACTGAATTTTTGTGTCCCACTGTCAAATTCATGTGTTGAAATCCTAGCCCCCAACTTGATGGTATTAAAAGGTGGGGCCTTTGGGAGGAAACAGGTCATGACAGCAGAGTCTTCATGAATGGGATTAGTGCCCTTATAAAAAGAGACCCCGGGGAGCTTCCTAGTTCTCTTTCTGCCATGTGAGGATACAAGAAATCAGCAGCACACAACCCAGAATAAGCCACTCACCAGAGCCCAACCATACTGGGTGGCACCCTGATCTTGAACTTACAACCTCCAGAACCGTGAGAAATCAAAGTTTGTTGTTCAAGCCACTTCATCTACACTAATTTGTTATACCAGCCTGAACTAAGACAAAAGGTATGAAGCCATAACTACATGTTCACAAATTATCTTTAGTCATCAGAATTTTTTCTTGTTAAAATAAGTCAAATCCCTGTACTTTTAGTGCCTCTCCATCCACCCTTCTTCCCTATAGGCTTCATACCCTATTCCCCACACAATACACAGCAAATACACATACCCTATTCCCCACAATACACAGCAAAGAACAAATCAACAAAACTCTAAAAGCAAAAAGACCCAAGGAAATGCATATAAATAATCAAACAATACTCCATTATGCTATAAATGCCTTCCCCATGTTAAAAAGAAAGAAGAAAAGTCAATGGCTGTTTTCCGGGAAACACAGCAGCAGTAAGAACAACCCTGAGGTTCAAATTTCCACATCCTTGCATTCTTTCACACTAACTCAGACCCCATGGTCCTGTCTAGGGAAAGAGAGAAATGCTTTACTGTTAACTATGTACATGTCCAGCCACAGAGGCTAAGTTGCATGTGTCAGTGGCCTAGACAATCGGCACGCAGTAAGTGCACCAATAAACCTCTACCCTCTTCATTCAGCCAACAGCCTTACCAGACCCACAAATTTTGAGGATTAGCAGGGATTCAGGCAAACTCAATAAAATGAAATACCAAAGGCAGGGCATCAAGCAAGTACATTACTGTTTAATGAAAGCCATACTTAAGGTCAATAGACTGTAATTTAACTGCGTAGCAAGCACTTGCCCAAGTTTTATTTGCCAATCAGCCATGTGACTAATCTGGATTTAAGATAAAGAAACCTTTTGGGCTCATTAAATTACAACCCAGCAAGGTAATGCTGACCCTACAACCTTGTGTAAATGTGATAGGAAGCAATTAGTGAATTAGCCACTATTGTCTCCTCCTGCTGTGACAAGATGATACAGCGAATGCTGAATATGCCAAGGTTTCTCCAGTTCTTTTAATGTTTTGACACTGCACAAACATTCTTCCTTTAAAACAAAGTGGGAAGTATGATTTTAAGAATCACTTTAGAAGATCCTACACTCAGACTACTCTCCCTTTCTCAGGTGGATGCTTTATTGCAGAAAACTAAGGAGCATCTCATTCAGAGCTACAACTTGCACTGAATTAAAAGATGTCCAGACTAAAAACATGCAAAAGATGATGATTCAGATATAACCCTGATGCCTTAAAAAACACACACACAAAAAACCACAAATGTAATTCCATGCAAAATTGAACTATTCCTATAAGCAAAAGGTGGATAAAAGTCTGACCTTCAAAAGTCAGGAGGAAAAAAATGTTAATAGTTCAAAGAATTCTCCTTCACATCCCAAAACCAAAACATTTGTAAAGCAGTCACCAAAAATAAACCTCTCATTTCCCACCTGAGTGACTTTTAATAGTCTCTTCTGCTTTGAATTATTAATCTGGTTCCCTTCGCTCCCCCTTTCTCTCCCTCCTTCTTTCCTTTCTCTCTTTACTTCTTTCCCTCTTTCCATCATTCCTTCCTCTATTGTAAAATTAGCCTGAAGTACCAACCCAAAAGAATGCCAAAGACCATTGGTCAACTTATTCCATCCTTCAGAAAAGAGAGGAGGTACTTTTTGGGTTTGAAGTTCCCTCAAGGAAGAATTAGTTGCTATTTTTACTGCTTAAAAAAAAAAACTTTTAAAATAAAACAAAAAATTTAGCCAAATGCCCCTAGATCTTAAAAAATACATGGGTTAAGTTATTTTGCTTATTTAGTAGCAACCACACTCTGATAAGAGTATTCTGCCCATTTCAGAAATGACGTTTTTTAAAAACTTATCTAGGAAACAGAGACCAAAGGCAATAAAGGATGAAAGGCTAAAAGATCATCTTCTCTATGAAGAAAGAGATCACACAAACTTCAGTTATTAAGCTTGAAGAAGAGACAGCTTAGAGGCACCTAAATCATTATCTTTAATTCCATGAAAATGTATACTGCATGAAAGATGGTGACCAGATGTTTCTCATCACTTCTGAGGAGAAAATAAACAGAAAAAGCCTTGAACTTCAGCAAAAGGGCTCTGAGAGGCCATGTTCCTGAGCTAGTCCAGTAAGTCTCAGATTTTAATGCACACGTGAGTCACGTGTGAGATCTTGTTAATACGTAGACTGGCTCAGTAGGTCAAGAACACGAACCAAGAATCTTCATTTCTAACAATTTCCCAGATGAAGCCAACATTTACAAAGGGCAAAACCGCAGAGTGGTGTGGCGTGATACATATTAGTTGTCAATTCAGTTGAACATGGTCACAACAGGACTGCATGACTACAGCCATTGATACTGATGAGGAAGCTTGCCCAAAGAGAGCAAATCCTATAAGCCCTTCTCAACAAATTAGCTTAAAGATGAAAATCACAAGAAAACACTGAAAAATACCAGAATGCAAAATTTCTTTGGACTACGTGCTCAGTCAGCTTCCTGGAGCCCTGAGGTGTGGTTTTAACCTGGTGGAGAGGAAGCGAGACAAGATGACCTCACACACCTAAGACTGACTATTTTCACAATCCCCTTTCAACCTGTTCTACAAATTACCAGTGCTCATGGGGATCCAAGAAATTATCTAAGTGACTTCTCTGATGCCAAAATTATTGCTTAAGAACGCTGTCAACTAAAATATCAAACATTTCAGTGCAAAAGCATTAAGTATATAGAAACAGGGCCCTCTTAAATGTGATAATCCCACATTTTTTCAGCCTTATTCGGAGTATTCTCCAGCTATTTCCACTCAAAGATTAACACTGTCAATGCCTACTAAATGTGCACTTTGGAAGGCTAAGGTGGGCGGATCACTTGAGGTCAGGAGTTCAAGACCAGCCTGGTCAACATGGTGAAACCCCATCTTTACCACAAATACAAAAATTAGCTGGGAGTGGCAGCAGGCACCTGTAATCCCAGCTACTCGAGAGGCTAAGGTAGGAGAATTGCTTGAACCCAGGAGGCGGAGGTTGCAGTGAGCCGGGATCACACTACTGCATTCCAGCCTGTGAGACAGAGCAAGACCCCATCTGGGAAAAAAAAAAAAAACAAACACACACACACACAATAACAGGGTAGCCTCCTAAACTAAAGAAGCAAAATAAAACCATTGCTCAGAGCATTTAATTTAATTTATTTATTGAGACAGGGTCTCACTCTGCTGCCCTGGCTGGAATACAGTGGTGCAATCAAGGCTCACCTCCATCCTTCAGATGAAGGCCTCAACCTCCGAGGCTCAAGCAATCCTCCACTTCAGCCCCCTACCCTGAGTAGCTGAGACTACAGGTACACACCACCAAGCCTGGCTAATTTTTGTATTTGTTCTAGAGATGGGGTTTCACCGTGTTGCCCAGGCTGGTCTTGTACTCCTGGGCTCAAGCCATCCACCCACCTCGGCCTCCCAAAGTACGGGGATTTCAGACGTGAGCCACTGTGCCTGGCCATTTACAGCATTTTAAACCAGGGTACACTACATTTCAAGCTACAGCTCTAGTAGGATTAATATTTATTTTTGCTTATCTAGACCCTGCATCTGGTCAAGTGTATGTTATTATAATTAATCCAGCATCAGGAGCTCTTTAGCACAGGTGTTCAATAAGCACTTCAGCAGAGGCAAATGCACTGTTCTCATTCTTTTTGTTGTTGTTGTTGGCAAACATTTTAAATTTTATTTATTTTTTTATTATTATTATACTTTAAGTTTTAGGGTTCATGTGCACAACGTGCAGGTTTGTTACATATGTATACATGTGCCATGTTGCTGTGCTGCACCCATTAACTCGTCATTTAGCATTAGGTATATCTCCTGATGCTATCCCTCCCCCCTCCCCCCACCCCACAACAGTCCCCGGTGTGTGATGTTCCCCTTCCTGTGTCCACGTGTTCTCATTGTTCAATTCACTGTTCTCATTCTTATGGGGAAATCTCAATACATCCAAAATTGTATTCATCTTGCCTGCTATGACCCAACTGGCCCAATCTGTCGGCTGCACCAGTAATCTTCCAAATTTCTGGGCTCTAGTAAACATGGAGGTTACTGACTCTTTTCTCTCCATCATTCTACAGATCAAGGGCTCTAAACCTGGGATCCATGACTTCTGAAAGCCTGTGAATGGGTTTCTGCTACTACATGTTAATTTTTACATGGGTATACGTATATGCACTTGGCTATGGTTTTCATAAGAATCTCAGGAGTCCCTGATGCAAACAAGGATCAATTTGAATCCAAGTCCTGTCCTTTCTTTTGAGGCACCAATTCTCGGTCTCCCTTTCTTCATTCTTCCAGACACCTATCTTATCTATTCTCATAGCTGCTGACTGTCTGATTATGGCAGGAGACTTTGTTGTTGTTTTGAGACAGAGTTTTGCTCTGTCGCCCAGGCTGGAGTGCAGTGGCGTGATCTCGGCTCACTGCAACCTCCGCCTCCCGGGTTCAAGCGATTCTCCTGCCTCAGCCTCCCTAATAGCTGGGATTATAGGCGTCCACCACCACACCCAGCTAATTTTTTGTATTTGTTGTAGAGATGGGGTTTCACCATGTTGGCCAAGCTGGTGTCGAACTCCTGACCTCAGGTGATCCTCCCACCTCAGCCTCCAAAAGTGCTAGGATTACAGACATGAGCCACCACGCCCGGTCATGGCAGGAGACTTTTGATTGGGCTGTCTTTGTCCACTCTAAGCCATCCCAGCATTACTCCTAAATAACATTTCTAAAACATAAGTTTGACCACAACTTCTCTTGCCATATCCACAGAGACTATGTTCTTCTAGCCATAGCAACTATATGCAGTCTTTCAAAACACACCATACCACCGTGCCTTTCCCTAGAATGACTTCCTCCCAAAACTGCTCCCCACCTCTCCTCAATTCCAAGCCATTACATTCATCTTCCACTCTCCAATTCAAGTCAACTCTCCTTAAGTTCCTTTTCTAATTCCTCGTCAATCTCTGCCTCCAAAGAGCATGTATCACCTCTAGGCTCCCATTTAATACATATTCCTATTATAGCATTAACTACATAAAGACATTGTCTTTTCATCTCTTTATACTCTAATACAGTACCCAGCACACCATGGTCACCCAATACATTGTCACTAAATGGATAATCATATATTATGTGCTGGGCACACAGGTGTGCAATACATAGGTGGATTGAAAAGACTTCAAAAATACTTTTACTTCATGTTATATCTCAATTTTCCGAATCTTCAGCTTAACTAAGGCATTATTTAGGGTTTGCAGGAGGGGTGTTCTAGACAGAAGGACAGGACCTCTCAATCTCTCAAGAACTTATTAACAAATTTCACTCATGAGAGAGAATTCTGAATTCTCAGTATCAATACAGAAGATAGTCCAGCTAAAAGCTCTCTTGAAAAAAGCTGGATTTCAGATACTAAACAAAAACTTTACTGAGGAAACTTATTTATGTAAGATCAAAGTCACAGGCTAATTCCAAGATCTGAGTTAATCGCCAGTTGCACAATTTACCATTTTGCCAGGAAAAGTACCCAAAGCATATCTAAATAGATTAATGTATTGGAAATACTGGTCATGGAATCGCTTCAGAAATTCTGCCAAATTTGCTCTTGTTGCACTAGATTGTCTCAAGATATGTTTTACGGTTTACTAATGTTTGGGTTTAAAAGCCTGGTTCTCTGGCTAATATCATGACAACATGCAAAGGCAGGCAATAAAGACTTAAGATAGAACTGCCAACATTTTTCTTTTCATTCACCCCTTAGGTTTAATAACTCCATGTGTATCCTATAGGTCTCTGTAAATAAAAAACAAAATTTGTTGATTAAATTTTAACCTTAATATCTAAGGATCTGGTAAAAAAAAAAAAAAAAAAAAAAAAAAAAAAACACACAAACCTCCTAACGGATGTGAAACTCCTAAAGGATGTGAAAATTTCATTGAAAATGACCAAATGTAGTCTGGATTTCCAAGACACTCAATTCTTAACCCTACTTCTGCTTTCTCTGGCTCAACTCACTTGTCTGTAATTAATATATCTAAGAGAAGAAGTGTCCCAATAGAGGAGTATCTGAGGCTCTCAGGCAACTACCTCATGAGCAACTCAAGAATACACTCAGGCAAATAAAACAAAACTCAGTGCCATGAATTCCAATATAAACACCACCACCAACAACAAAAAAATCAAATTAACTCTAAGTTATTTGGGGTCTGCTATAGCAAAAAATATTCATGTAGAGTATTGTCTAGCAGGTGCCAGACACCAAGTAGAAAACTCAGCCTACTGCAGTCGGGCACAGTGGCTCACATCTGTAATCCCAGCAACTTTGGGAGGCCAAGGTGGGCAGATCACCTGAGGTCAGGAGTTCGAGACCAGGCTGGCCAACATGGTGAAACTCCATCTCTACTAAAAACACAAAAATTAGCCAGGCATGTTGGCAGGCGCCTGTAATCCCAGCTACCTGGGAGGCTGGGGCAGGAGAATCACTTGAACCCAGGAAGCGGAAGTTGCAGTGAGCCAAGATCACACCACTGCACCCCAGCCTGGGCGACAGAGCGAGACTCTGTCTTGGGGGGGAAAAAAAAAAGAAAAGAAAAAAACTCACTGAGCCTGCCACTGAAGATACCAAAATCCGATTATTCTACAAAGCACTTCAGAAACACTGAGAAACGAGAAAGAGAGATCATAAATTGTTGCAATTAGCAAGTATCTTAGTAAAAGTCCCCAAAGGAAACTCCAAACGAAAATAGAATTCAGTCATCCTCATACATTGGGATTTAAACTAAGATTTTCAGGAAACAAACTAACAACACATAAGGAGTTTAATATGACCAGTTTCCATTTAGTTATAATCCAAACATCTAGAAACTTGAAACAAAAGGTTTTCAGAATCATTTGCAGTGTGATTATTTGGGGATTATTTTTTGTTTTGGGGGGACAACAGCTTTATTGAGTTATCCCTATAGCATATGATTCACCCATGTAATGCACACAATTCGACAGTTTTTAGTATATTCACAGAGTTATGCAACCATCACCACCAATTTTAGAACATTTTCATCGCTTCAGTGAGAAACCTTGAACCCTTCAGCTATCAACCACTCCAATCCTCACAGGGTCTCTAGCCCTAGGCAACCACTAATCTACTTTCCCTCTATATAGTTTTGCCTGTTATGGACATTTCACATAAATGGAATCATGTAATATGTAATCTTTTGTGACTGGCTTCTTTGACATAGCGTAGTTTGCTAGATTCACCGTGTTGTAGCATGCATCAGCACTTCATTCCTTTCTGTGGCCAAATAATATCCCATTGTATGAATATATACTACATTTGGTTTATCTAGTCATCAGTTGCTGGGACTCCTGATTTTGAAGGAAACAGTTAAAGTTAATAAGGTATTAAGTGATATTTTGTCCATAAAAGGGTCTCCTTAAGTCAAAATAGAATCAGCTTCAGACACCATTAATCAATAATCAATGATTATGGATGATTATGACCATGACTCTAAAGAACCACAAGGCACTCAGGACCTTCTGCACTATCACAAAAAAAAAAGCAAGCAAGGGGTGGGGGACTGGGGCGATAAAACCTTCAAACATAGAGAAAGAGACACTAGAGTCCTTTTCAGTCCTAGTTTCCTTATCCATAAAATATCTCAAATGGTTTGCAGTCAGAATTAAATCCTCTACAGGGGTTACTCCATTTTACCTCTGTTACTAGGAAGGGAAATGAAGCCCAGCGAAGAAAGTGATTTAAAAGTTTCAGCAACAATTAAAGGCAAAGTTAAAACTTACATCTAATTCTCCTAGTGCCCATTTTGTTATTTTTCACCACTCTTTACACTGTACTTGATATCATCCTAAGAAATGATTTAGAATGTATGTCAAGACTCAGTTACAAGTATGTTCAGAACACAAGTGTGCAACCATCCCGAGAGTCAAACAATAAGGAACTAGTTAAACTGAAATGCTCATTAGTGTAACACTTTGCAAACACTCAAAAGTTCTAATTAAAGATATGAAAGTATGTTCATGATGTGGATGCATGTAGCTAAACAAAACCATACTGGAAGAATACATACCAAAATATTAACAGTGCTTATAGCTGGGCATTGTAATTAGAAATGTTCTTGTCTTCCATTCCTAATTGTTTTCTAATATTCTACAATGAGAATATATTATGTGTACTAATGGGAAAAAAAGTATTTATAGGTATGGTTGGCATTGAGTGTAACTTGTCATATTCTGTTTGATAACTTTATAGTAACAAGACTAAAATGAGTGTAATTCCTCATATTCCTCATCCCACATTATTACATATAAAACATTTCCCTCAAAAGCCCTTTGGAGGATTTATCCCATATCAATGCTCTAAGACGGTAACAGTGATAGTTAATCTAGTTTGCGGATGGTGGGGTTAAAATGCAGGGGATCTTAAGGACATGGCTGGCAAAGCTGGATTAAAACCCCTGAGTTTAAGTCATTCCAGCTTTCATAGTTAAACTGTTAATCAGAAAGCTAAAACCAAGAAAATGGATGATTTTATGAGAATGATGCTATCTTGTGTGGCCTACCATGTAAAATGTAGACACCTAGAAACAAAATATCAAACCACCTTCTGTTGTGATATTATTTTGCCACTGAAGTCAAGAGGCGCAGATGTAGGTAGAAACAGACAATAAACAAGGATAATTATCTATAAAGTTATTAGCAAGGTGAAAGAGTATATTGAAACAATATAAAAAGCCCCAGAAATAAGCCACAATTTAGAACACACACCCCAAAAGGCTGCCCTGTGTTTTTGGTTTTCATGTATATTTTACTGGAAGTTTTCAAGTGAGTAAAAATTAAGTTGACCATATCAAACTAAATTTCAAACAGAAGTTTGTAAAAATTGATTATTATCATTATCCAAGTTCTCACAACATATGCAAAACTCAAGAGATACACATTAGAAGTTATCAAAGAATAAAAAAAAGCCTTTTACAAATGTAGTACTTTCCATATAAATGCTTTTACCTGGAAAAAAAATGAGACTATAGACCCAAATATATTAGTATGCCTGCTAAAATTTAGCCCTTTTCTCAGTATCTTCTTGAGTCTTAATTATTCCCCACTGTTTATTATGCAGTCAAAAATTTGAAAAAGCAAATGTTTCCAATCTTAGCAATTACTACAAGGAATAGATATTGGCAACTCAGCAAGACTTAAGAAGTCTTATAAACAAATCCAAAGAGTAAACCCTTTCTTCAGTGTGAGCTTTATGAGCAAAGAGTTTAAATTATATCTGACCAGGTTGCTTCAATATTGTATTACAAATAAATTCTGGAATTTAATTATCATGTAGTACATCTTTTCCACCTAAAATAAGTCAGACCAACATGTTTTAAAAGAATAGAATGGTATAGAAAATGCAATACCATTCACATATAAAGATAAGAATTGTTTTATGAAGCTTGTTTTGATTTCCTTTGAATATACAGAACTTATATATACTGGGCCATAAATGTAAAATATATTTTAGCACCAGTCGCTGTCAATTATTCAAAGAATAATCTTAATTCCTTCAGAGTAGGCCATGAGTATTTACTTTCAGAAGACAGCATACAGACCATCTGTTAATAGGGAAACAAACAAACAAAAAAAAGCGTAGCTGGTCATGGTGGTGGGTACCTGTAGTCCCAGCTACTCAGGAGGCGGAGGTGGGAAGACCACATAAGCCAGGAGGTAGAGGCTGCAGTGAGCTATAATTCCACCACTGCACTCCAGCCTGGGCAACAGAGTGAGACTCTGTCAAAAAAGAAAAAGAAGAGAAGAGAAGAGGAAAAGAAGAAAGAAAAAGAGAGGAAAAAAGAAAAAGAAGCAACTGATTCTAAAAAATGGAGAAACAATTGTTCTCAGTCATCTTACTATGAACATTTCATAAATCTCATTCACTTACTATTCAACAAGTAAGATACATCTGAAGAGCAAAGATGCGGTTTGTGGCTTCGAAAACCCCCTTTATTATGCTTTAGTTGCAATTTCTCTTTTCTGACAGGATAATGAGAAACTAATAGTGATATTCCATTTCAATAAGCCATCCTTTGTGGTTTACAGCCTACAAGCTTGTTATTGAAGGATGTCACTTTCCCAACTTGTATCTACTCCAGGCCCTCCACTCTCACTATCTTCGACAAAAGAGGACAGAGTAGTTGAATGTGTGCCTAGTTCAAATGACGTCAGAGTGGCCAGCCAAAATCCCTCAACTACTTGCTAAGTAAATACTAAATACCGTAGGATTGTTCTGAGAAATACACATGAAACATCGCACAGTAAAAGCCCTCAAAAAGTAGTGAAGATTAAAACAACTCTTGTAGAAGTAGAGAAACCCCCATTTGAGCAAATAAACCAGGACAAACAGAATACACAAATTTTCCCCTTCTTCCAAAATTGCTCAATGGCTTTGTAAAGGGTGGTGAAAAACACAGGGATACTAAGAATCTCTCCCACCAAAAGATCAAAGACAGATTGAATAATCAGTATAGAAGCCAAGATGATCCTCTGTATGTTCTGTCTCACCACTGCCCCAGCTTAAAAAAATCAACTCCACACTTAACTTCCTAATGCCTGACTCTCCCTAGTTCCTTTAGTTGTTTTTACCTGTTATGTGAAAAAAAAAAAAAGGCTACCTCTTAGATAACGGCTACAACTGTGAAATTAAATGATGAATATATAGCACAACAATTAAGATTGGGCACTTAGGAGCCAGGGGACTCAAATTCAAATCCTGACTCTGTCATTTATTGTGTGACTTTAGGCAAGTTGCTCAAACTCTGCACCTAAATTTCCTCTTAGGTTACATGGAATTAATTACAGTTATCTCCTTGGGTTGTTGTTAAGATTAAATACATTAAAAGCACAAAAAAAGACTCTATAAATATTAGCTGCTATTATATTAAGCTTTCCACAAACAATCCGAATCTATATTCATCTCAAAGGTAAAGTTTAAAATGGATGGCAACTATTAATAATTTTATTTATGTTTGTAAAACTTATCACTGGAAATACACTGTAAGCTCCTAGATGGCAGCTCACTGTTAGTACTCACATCTAGTGCCATGTAGGTACTAAAAATTTTTTGCTAATTTCATAATATGTAGGTACAATCTGTGTACACTGTGGGGATGAATTTCTCTAACACCAACTTCATCAAGGAAATATAGCCACTTTAGAAAGCACTTCAACACTAATCACTTAAGTTGAATATGCCCAAGACCCAACAATTGTACTTCTAAGTGTTAATATATAACCTTAAGAAATTTATACCTGTGCATCAGGTGACATAGACAAGGATTTTGATTGTAACGTTACTTGTAATAACCTCATATGTCCATCAATATGACAAGAGATAGTTGACTCCCATTATTTGCAGTAGTTATTGTATTCATCAGGGTTCTCTAAAGGAACAGAACTAATAGGATATATGTATACATGAAGGAAGTTTATTCACAGAATTTTTTTTTTTTTTGAGATGCAGTCTTGCTCTGTCACCCAGGCACAATCTCGGCTTACTGCAACCTCCACCTTGCAGGTTCAAGCAATTCTTCTGCCTCAGCCTCCCAAGTAGCTGGGACTACAGGTGTGCACCACCATGCCCAGCTAATTTTTGTACTTTTAGTAGACAGGGGTTTTTCACCATGTTGGCCAGGGTGGTCTCAAACTCCTGACCTCAGGTGATCCACCCGCCTCAGCCTCCCAAAGTGCTGGGATTACAGGTGTGAGCCACCACGCCTGGCCTTATTAGCAGAATTGACTCACAGGATCACAAGGTGAAGTCCAACAATAGGCCATCTGCAAACTGAGGAGCAAGGAAGCCAGTCCCAGTCCCAAAACCTCTAAAGTAGGGAAGCTGATAGTGCAGGCCTCAGTCTGTGGCCAAATGCCCGAGAGCCCCTGGCAAATCACTGGTGTAAATCTAAGAGTCCAAAAGCTGAAGAACTTGGAGTCTGATGTTCGAGGGCAGGAAGCATTGGGCACAAGAGAAAGATGAAGGCTGGCAGACTCGGCAGACTCAGCAGACTCAGTGAATCAGCTCTTCCATCTTCTTCTGTCTGCTTTATTCTAGCCACACTGGCAGCTGATTGGATGGTGCCCACCCAGATTGAGGGTGGATCTGCCTCTCCCAGTTGACTGACTCAAATGTTAATCTCCTTTGGCAGCACCCTCACAGACTCACCTAGAAACAACACTTTGCATCCTTCAATCCAATCAAGTTGACACTCGATATTAACCATCACAGTTATGGTCTATAAAGTCACCATGGACACTGAATTATTGACCATTGAACCATTAGTTCTAGCGGAAATACACGGTTAGGCTCCCCAGAGCCTCTGGTTGCAACATTTTTGTCAACTGATCAATACATAAAACTGTGCTATGTATGTTTCTTATTTATTTTTATATATTAAACTGATTTAATATATAGTTATACATTAAACTGATTTAATATTTATCGTTATACATTAAACTGATTTAATATTTATCGTTATACATTAAACTGATTTAATATTTATCGTTATACATTAAACTGATTTAATATTTATCGTTATACATTAAACTGATTTAATATTTATCGTTATACATTAAACTGATTTAATATTTATCGTTATACATTAAACTGATTTAATATTTATCGTTATACATTAAACTGATTTAATATTTATCGTTATACATTAAACTGATTTAATATTTATCGTTATACATTAAACTGATTTAATATTTATCGTTATACATTAAACTGATTTAATATTTATCGTGATACATTAAACTGATTTAATATTTATCGTGATACATTAAACTGATTTAATATTTATCGTGATACATTAAACTGATTTAATATTTATCGTGATACATTAAACTGATTTAATATTTATCGTGATACATTAAACTGATTTAATATTTATCGTGATACATTAAACTGATTTAATATTTATCGTGATACATTAAACTGATGTAATATTTATCGTGATACATTAAACTGATGTAATATTTATCGTGATACATTAAACTTATGTAATATTTATCGTGATATATTAAACTTATGTAATATTTATCGTGATATATTAAACTTATGTAATATTTATCATTATATATTAAACTTATTTAATATTTATCGTTATATATTAAACTTATTTAATATTTATCGTTATATATATTACTTAATATATATTATTGATTCATTAACACTGAACTCACAGCCTCACAGCCAACAGCTCTCTAAATTCATGCATGAAAGAAGCTTACCAATATACATATCTTCTCCATAAGGCACATCTCAGCCTTCCTGCACTTAGTTAACACTGGACAGCACTTCAGCATTATGCTTGAAGTCTGTTTTAAATAGCAAAATCACCAAAAAAAAAAAAGCACAAAAGTGCAAAAAGTGTGGCACTAAATAGAAAGCAAAAAGGATACACGTGTACAGTATGCATGCTGAAACAAAAAAGCAGAGTCACCTTGTTCAACCTCAGCTGAGAATCTGCACATCTGGTGACAAATTTTTCACCACTTTGTGGTCTGTGAGTGACCATAAAAGCACTGTATTAACTTTGGGGTTACAGATACATTTTTATCAAATAGGCAAATTTGCAAATCCAGAATTCACATATAATGAGGATCAACTGTAATTTATGGCACATTTATTCAATGAACATAATTCAAAAATTAAATGACCTCTAGCCAGGCTGGGTGTGGTGGCTCACGCCTGTAATCCCAGCACTTTGGGAGGCTGAGGTGGGTGGATCACTTGAGGTCAGGAGTTCGAGACCAGCCTCACCAACATGGTGAAACCCTGTCTACACAAAAATACAAAAACATTAGCCAGGCGTGGTGGCGCACACCTGTAATCCCAGCTACTCGGAAGGCTGAGACAGAATTGCTTGAACCCAGGAGGCAGAGGTTGCCATGTGCCATTGCACTCCAGCCTGGGTGACAGAGCGAGACTTCATCTCAAAAAAATAAACAAAATAAAATAAATGACCTAAAGCCACATGCATCAACATAAATACTTCTCAAATCAAATGTATAAAGATTCAAAAGTACATATGGATTATAGTGCCATTTCTATAAATTCAGAAGCAAACTATAAGTTATTTTTAACAAGAGTGCATAGGAATGAGATGTGCCAATTCGGGGTAATTTTCCTCTGTAGCGGGAGAAAGGAAGTCAGGAGAGAACGAGCTTGGACTGTGTCTGTAACATTTTATTTATTTGGGTATGTATTCTAACCTAGTATTCTGTAATGCTGGGACTATTTTGTTAAGAATATGTCCATTAGAACTACCACTCAGTAGTGAAATACACGTGCTACAGAGCAACATGTTGTAGAAAATAAAACTACTCCCTGAAATTACAGCACATCATAGAGCAGTGCTGGAAATCATTTAACAGCGTGATGGACTATGACTATGACAAGGGTCTGTTTGCACAGAAGGAAAGAAGGCCTGTACAAAAGAGAGATGAAAAGGAGAGGGACAAAGGGTCAGATTTTCATTTCTAGATGCACCCTGCATATCTGCTGCTCCTTTGAACTTCATGGGAGTTTCTTCCCAGAAGGACTACATGCAGCACAGAGAACCACCCAAAAGCAAGCTTAGTCACTGGGACATGAGAAAAACCTAAAGCCCTAAAAAAATTACTCCTAAAGCAGGGGACAAGGTTTGGGAAGGAAAGCTCCTGAATGGAAACCAAGACAAGACGAATAGTTTCTACTGCCAAAGACCGGGGATGACCCATCAAGGTCTTATTTTCAATGGAATAAAGCAGTGGTTTTCTTGGGGCAATGAAAAAGATATCATCTAACTCCCAATTTTGTTTCTGCTCAAGAAAAAATAAATGTTTGTGATGCTGTTAGGTTTCATTTATAATTCTCCTCTTTGTTCACTTTTGGCAGTTACCATCATGAGCATTAGAGTAACGTCTAGCACCCCGCCAAAAATACCAGCATTGTGATTGATGTGTGATTCAAAAAAGCTGTCAAAAGGAATACTCCAAAAGAAATGAGTCACATGGCTAGGCCAGGCATGCTATTATTTTTGTACCATATTATAATCCTTTTCATCTGGACCTTCTTAGAGTTGGCTTATTACTTCCTTTCATGCTATTCTAAGCTGACTAAAGGCTACAATAAACGGCATAAGAAGCCTGACAGAATGGGTTCATACCTTCATTACTAAAATACAAAAATTAAGGCTATTTGATATGGAAATAGGGCACCAAGAAAAACATGCACACAGCTTCCGCCCATGCAATTTAAGAACCCTTAAGGGTCTGAGAACACAGAGAATTTTATCTCAGACTAGTCTGACAGTGCTATCAAATATTCTTTTATCTCACCAACTTAAAAAAGTAGATTGCCACTACAAAAATTTAGGGCAAAAGTGATATTTATCAGCTGAGAGAAAAATGAGCAATTTTCCTCACCAGATAGTAAGAAAGATGTGTGCATCTTTAGAAAATTCTAGGCTCTCATTTCTGGATGGTGGTGTGTTTTTATTTGATTTGGGACTAGCCTTTGTTTCATAAGCTTAGCTCTGTCTGACTCAGCAAGATCACGTAGGACGCAACCCAAACAGATTAATATAGAACCTTCTGGAAAAAATAACGCAGGGGTTTACTGGGGAATGTAATCTGTAATGTCTTCTTTCTGTGCCTCCTAGATCAAGTCAGATGGCACCGTATTCTTGATTTAAAACAATGCATCTTTTATTGAACAATGCTGTTAATCAAACAGAAAACCATCTATATACAAGTTACACAATTTTTTTTTTTGCCACTACTGGAATTCAGAATAATTCCAAATGACTCCATCCATTCCAGGATGGAGCTGGAGCCAAACAAAACTTCAACAGCAGTTTCTTCAAGGCTCAAATGGTCACAACTTCAATGTATTTTCTCATTGTGAACAAGCTGCTCAGTGGTCACAGCACCATATGTAGCATGGCAGTTGTCTGTTCCAATTATGAAAACACTAGCACTTCCATTAGGCTCTGAAATGGAATAGCCCAATGCCCTGAAACACCTGGGTCTCTTTTTCTAGAAAGAACAAAATATACAAGAGTCAACATAAATCCAAGTGGGGCTGCATGCATGGACCAGAACTTTGAAAACACTGATGTATCACAGAAGGTCAGTAGGTACAATCTTATGGCAAGAGTAGCAAATACAAGCCACCATTAGTTCAATTCTGGGCGTTCTGGGGGCCCTGCTTCACTTGTTCTTCACATTTGAGGTTGATGATGATTTAACTAAAGTTACCTGTAAAATATACTAGAATCCAGTTAAAGTCCACAGCTTGGACCCTAAAGCCAGTGCTTTAATAAAGTCAAATTTTAAAAGAGTACAAAATAATCAGAACAACCACTTCTTGTGAGGTGCTTACCTGACTGCCACAACTTGACTGTACTAAGCAATATCACTTAATATCCATAACAAGTCAAAAAGGTAGCTCTTGAGCTCATGACGGATGTGGCTACCAAGGCTTAGAAAGGTCAATCAATTAGTAAGCAGCAAAATCCTGATTCAAACTCAGGTTTAGTCCAAAGTCCAAGATCATAAACAAGCTTTGTTAAATAGACTTTGCAGAAAAGACTGTGGGCTTTCTAACAAAGTGAGTATAGGGACATATACTTACTTTCTGATGCTTGCAACCTAGAGAAGTAAGGCTTAGAGTCGACTGCCTTTGGGGTAGATTCTCTTACCACCTAAAAGGCTGATCCTGGTATTAATACTTTTTACCAGATTCTTCCAAGTTGTTTGCACAGATATACCTAGACACACACTCAAATCTCTAAGCATTCAGGCACAGAGCAGAATTCATGCAATTATGTATTATAACCTTCAGCCAAAGTAAGTTGTCTAGATTTATCAGCTTAATCTAAAATATTAGAAACTTCAACTTTAATATGTCCTTCTATAGCACATTATAAACATAACACATATATGTATGATAAATGCCTTTAAATATCCTATAATCTTCATTCTCTTACCTCCAGTATCTCATCTACTAGGCAGTTAACTACTCAAAGGCAAAAGGGAAAATAAAATTCACCTTTGTGTCCCAGCATCTCAAGAGGCCTTGCTTGGTACACTCAAGCAAAACATTGGTTAAATAGAAATAAGATCACATGGCATTTGTTTTTTTAAAAATAAGCAATCTCCAACACAAGGCCTACTAACACAATATAATAATGGTTGTTCTTCTCACATGGAAGTCCAAGTCTATGGGTTATCACTGAGGGCTGAGCAAAGGCTTACCACACAGCCTTCAAGCTGTAACAACACAGCCATTTTACTAGGGGCATTTAAAAAAACAAAGGTTCAGAGACAGTTGTCTGAAAGAGAGCCTTCAGAAAGCCTTCAGAGGACAACTGTTACTAGAAAAAAAAAAAAAAGATTTGATCACAAGCTTATTTGGCCTTTACTATTTCAATAGTGAACAGTGGCTTTATTCATCCAGTTCTCATTTTATCTGTAATTTTTCTGAAGGATATGTAGTTACTGTTGGTTCTGGGTATATAACAAAATGAACACAGACTGAAAAGATGATGAGCTTGCCATCACAAGGCTGTCAATTTACTTTGAAACATTTATATTTATTCTACATATAGCTTATATTTACATAATATTTTTGCATTGGGAGTCAAAACAGAATGTTAGGAGCACGGCTTTTGAGTCGAGAAATTTGATTTTCAGCTTTATTACCTACTAGAAATATGTGTTCTCAGGTAAGATTTTTAACTTCCCTAATCCTGAGTTTCTCATATATGAGACAGGGATATACCTACCTTTCAGGTTTCCTGAGCTACCATTCATGTTTACTGAAACGATTAAAGAAATACACAAGTGACCTATATTGTATTATTACTGAACATGCATGAAATCCACATTTAAACCCACATTAGGGCTACCTTAAAATCCTCACAATAAACAAAGCCACTAATATGTATTTAAAGACTTATTCTGATATCGAATTGTGTAAACCTACTGGCAAGCAGGAAGATACCAAAATTCCCACCCATCCTCCAGTCACTGCTAGAGGTCTGAGAGTTCTAAGTCAGAATTGCCCACTTTTCTTTTGTGGCTTCTCTTTTAATCATGCTTAAAGGTTCTCAAACTTTAACACGCATAAGAATTGCTTTCTAGGAGCTCATCATCACTAGTCATTAGAGAAATGCAAATCAAAACCACGATGAGATACCACCTCATGCCAGTTAGAATGGTGATTATTAAAGTCAGGAAACAACAGGTGCTGGTGAGGCTGTGGAGAAATAGGAATGCTTTTACACTGTTGGTGGGAGTGTAAATTAGTTCCACCATTGTGGAAGACAGTGTGGTGATTCCTCCAGGATCTAGAACCAGAAATACCATTTGACCCAGCAATCCCATTATGGGTATATACCCAAAAGATTATAAATTATTCTACTATAAAGACACATGCACACGTATGTCTACTGCAACACTATTTACAATAGCAAAGACTTGGAACCAACCCAAATGCCCATCAATGATAGACTGGATAAAGAAAATGTGGCACATATACACCATGGAATACTATGCAGCCATAAAAAAGGATGAGTTCATGGCCTTTGCAGGGACATGGATGAAGCTGAAAACCATCATTCTCAGCAAACTAACACAGGAACAGAAAACCAAATGCCACAAGTTCTCACTCATAAGTGGGGGTTGAACAATGAGAACACATGGACACCGGGAGGGGAACGTCACACAATGGAACCTGCTGGGATTGGTGGGAAAGGGGAGGGAGAGCATTAGGACAAATACCTAACGTATGCAGGGCTTAAAACCTAGATGACAGGTTGATAGGTACAGCAAACCATGGCATGTATACCTATGTAACAAACCTGCACGTTCTGCACATGTATCTCAGAACTTAAAGTAAAATTTAAAAGAAATAATAATTGCTTTCTAGGGTTGTTTCACTACAGAATTGAACATGTACTTTCATGGGCAACTTCAGGTATTTTTGGGATAATTTTAACTATACACAACTTTCACTTTATTTTTATCTTAAGAATTGCACCTCTTTATAAAATTCTTTTTGAGAAAGAGTCTCACTCTGTTACCCAGGCTGGAGTGCAGTGGTGTGATCTCAGCTCACTGCAGCCTCCGCCTCCCAGGTTCAAGCGATTCTCCTGCCTCAGCCTCCCAAGTAGCTGGGACTACAAGTGCGCGCCACCATACCCGGCCGATTTTTGTATTTATAATAGAGACAGGGCTTCACCGTGTTGGCCAGGTGGGTCTCGAAGTCCTGACCTCAAGTGATCTGCCCACCTCGGCCTCTCAAAGTGATGGGATTACAGGCGTGAGCCACCGTGCCCAGCCTTCTTTGTAAAATTCTTGTATGCCCCTTAAAATACAATAATTTTGTAAAGGAAATATAAAAAAGAAAAAGAGGGAAAGAATCTGAGCTACAAGCTAGTAGCAAGTTAACAGCAATAAAGTAATTCTCTTCCGTAATACCTTGCCTGTCCCAGGTCAACCTATAGCTTCAAGCAGACAAAGAAAGCCATTCTAAGTACTGGCCTTCAGAGTGCCTGCATTTAGGGCACAGCTCACACTGATCAAACAGTCCATTCTCAAACAGTCTGTCCCATGGGTCTAGAACAATGGCAATTCTGAAATACTCATTTCTTTGAAAATCACCTGAATTTAACAAGAGGCAGAACTCTGACTACACAAAACCACCTATAAGAAATGGCTCTGTTACCGACAACAGAGTGAGGGGACAGACTCCTGAGCCTCCACCTTGAGGCTGTCCCATGGGCAAGGTCTGAAGCTGTCTGGGCTGAGTATATCCCATATGCTGTGGAATGACCCTTCACTTGCTCCAGGGTCCCTGGAAACTGCTCCTGAACCAGCAAACGGAGAAACAAATCGTACTCTGGCTACTCCTCCCTCCCGAGGGCTCTTACCTGATCACACTAGCTGCCTGCTCCTCCTCACTCAGACCTTATCGGGATGACACCACTTCACATATCCCATTTTATTCTCCTCATGGCACTTTCCACCATCTAAACGCTCCATTTCTGTACCTGTGCATCCCCTTCAGGTCTGGCTTCCCCCTCTACGCCCTCCCATTAAAATGTAAATTCCTTGGGAGCAGACGTTCAATCGATCCCACCTCAGTACAGCATCCTCCAGTGCCTACAACACTGCCTGGCACACAGTAAACGCTCAAGAAATATTTTTTGGACTGTCTGAATAAAGCATATAAGCACCAAAGGAGCAAAAATGCACAATGTAGAATGAAAAGTGCAGCCCAGCAGTGGTTGGGACTGAGCTAGAATCTCACCTACTTCCTATTCCAAGGAAACATTTTCTGAACACTCAGAATTCAGAAAAGGCACCTTCCCTCCAAACCCTTAGCATATCTACATCTACACTGATTATGAAGCTCTCTGGGTTGCTTATTGTTGCTTGTTTCCCCAGCTACATCCTGAGTCCCTTGAGATTAAGGTCAGATTTTGCAGCATATAACACAAGTTGGACTCATTCAAAGCAGCTATTGTATGAAATAATGAGTTTAGTACAGAGGGTATGTGAAGAACGAACAAGAAGCATACATTTAATGACATCTTAGAGCTAACTCAGAAAACATAATAGTGTAGTGCAGTAGAAAGAAGCAGGCTGTCTCAGGCAGGCCTGGATTCAAACTCTGCCCCCAGGATTGGGTAGTGGCCACGTTAACACCCTCAGCCCATTGTCTCATTAGTAAAAGGAAGACAATACCTCCCTGGAAAAGTTGTCATGAGCATCAACGATAATGCATATAAAGCACCTAACAGAACTCGAGAGAATTCATAAACATCATTAGTTTACAGTGGAATGCACCCCGGAGTTTTAGTATGAAGACCTAGGACTGGATCACAAACTTCACCACCTTCTTATATAACTTCAAGCCATCCAGTCTCATGCCCTATTTGTCTCATTTATTTAAAACCCTTAGAAGTGGCCGGGCGCGGTGGCTCACGCCTGTAATCCCAGCACTTTGGGAGGCCGAGGCGGGTGGATCATGAGGTCAGGAGATCGAGACCATCCTGGCTAACAAGGTGAAACCCCGTCTCTACTAAAAAATACAAAAAATTAGCCGGGCGCGGTGGCGGGCACCTGTAGTCCCAGCTACTGGGGAGGCTGAGGCAGGAGAATGGCGTGAACCCGGGAAGCGGAGCTTGCAGTGAGCCGAGATTGTGCCACTGCAGTCCACAGTCCGGCCTGGGCGACAGAGCGAGACTCCGTCTCAAAAAAAAAAAAAAAAAAAAAAAAAAACCCTTAGAAGCACAGAAGACAATTGGAGAGCACTCTGCAAACAGCAAAGCACTAACATGCCAAAACAAAGAACGCTGCCCATTTAAACTTACCTCACTCCAACAAAAAAGAAAATATAAACTGCCCTCCTCCTCTTCTGCTAATTCACAAGGAGTCAGGGAAGCATGATGCCAACTTGTTGTCTCTGAATGTTTCGTATTCTTGGACACCTACCACAGTCAAGTGATAAGGGGAATACCAAGATGAATAAGAATCTATGACCAAGTGTCATTTCAACACAAAGGCAAGTTATGTGCAATTAATAGTCAGCCTAGTGTGGTCAGTTAAATAGGTATCCAGAGCAGCCACTCCAATTCCCAGTCCTCTTTCAGTGGGCACCGTTCCCTTATCAAGTCAGCAATCATTTGCTGGGACCCTTCCCAAGGCTAAGCCAAGTAAAAGCTGTCAGACCCCGTAAGACATGATCCTTGCCTTTCAGGAGCCCACAGTGTGAACTGGCAGGTGAAACAAAGACACAAACAAATGGCTAAGAATGTAATGAGCAACTACAAAGCTACATATGAAAGCATCTCCCTATTTTACAATCAGAAGTTATACAAAGTGATATTTAATCAAGTGCCTCATGAGTAAGAGATAATTCATACCACAAAGCGATCAAAGTAAGGAGAGTTGTTTTTCTCATCACCCCCATGCTGACGTGGGTCTGTAAGGACCCTCGGAAAAAGTGGGACTGTAGAAAACTTTGAAGGCTGGTATAGTTTCAGTAAGCAGAGAAGCGAAGAGAGCCCATCCTATGCAGGGGAATCACCGGGGGAAAAAAATACGAAGGAGAGAAAGCACAGGCCTAATCTGGGGACAGGGATTAAAAAACGAAAAAGAAAAAAAAAAAACTTCCAAGTTAGGGACTTGTAAAGAAACAGAAGAGGAGATGGGTCTGGCCAAGTCGTAGCTGGCTTCAGGAAGAAGGCTGTGAGGGATACAGGAGTTACAAAGCAGAGAAAAGAAGAGAGACCAACAAACGTGGCCATGAGCCCCTCAAATTTTATCTATTAATAATGTCTGGAATAACACAATAGGGCTGTGATGGGAAATTGAACCAGAACATGAAATTCACAGTCTTATACCTTTTAATATTTCAAGAGTCATCAAGAAAGATAACAAAAGCTAAAGGTCAGAACTTACACTTGAGAAGGAGCACATAAATTTTGTACCTACATATCCGTAATTCCAAGTATTAATGCCCAAAATTTCAAATGCTCATTTTCTCTGTGGCCATCCCTCCCCATTCATGCTTTACTTTGGGAACACAAATCAAAATATCCTCTTCTCAGTATTATGAAAAGCAGGGATACTATACACACAAACAAAAATACCATTAAGGTGATCAATGATGATATAACTAAAAGCAACAAGAAAATGCTGCAGTGTCAATATTTCCTAATGCTCAGGCCTACTTGGACTAGGAATGCTCTCAAAGGAAGTGGTGGAAACCTCATGGTTAGAGTCACTTGGAGTCAGACCACAAGGCACAATCCTGTGGCCTACTCTCTTCCACATGAAGTGTGACCGCTGAGAAAGTAAGTTCAGGTGAGCAATAACTGTGGCTGGGAGACCAGAAGCCAAGTCTCACCACTCCTGAAGAACAAGAGGGAGGGAGGGATTCTGATTCCTGATCTGGGAGTTGGTTGCAACTGTGTCTGGTTTGTGAAAAAAAAATTTTTTTTTTTTGAGACGGAATATCGCCCTGTCACCCAGACTGGAGTGCTGTGGCAGGATCTCGGCTCACTGCAACCTCCGCTTCCCAGGTTCAAGCGATTCTCCTGCCTCAGCCTCCCAAGTAGCTGGGACTACAGGTGTGTGCCACTATGCCCAGCTAATTTTTTGTATCTTTAGTAGATACGGGGTTTCACCATGTTGGCCAGGCTGGTCTCGAACTCCTGACCTCGTGATCTGCCCACCTCGGCCTCCCAAAGTGCTGGGATTATAGGCATGAGCCATGGCACCCAGTCTGAGCCACCGTGCCTGGCCATGAAAAGATTTTTTTAAAAGAGGATCAGGTAATATCATTCTAAAAAATGACCAAGAAAGAATTTTTAAATTTCTCCATTATCATTAGAAACATCAGAGGAAATCAATCGTGGAACTTTTTTTGTTGTTAGAGATAGGGTATCTTACTTTGTCACCCAGGCCGTAGTACAGTGGCATGATTACAGCTCACTTCAGCCTCGAACTGCTGGGCTCAAGCAATTCTCCCACCTCAGCCTCCCAAGTAGCTAGGACTACAGGGAGTGTGCCACTAAGCCAGTTTTTTTGTGTGTGGTTTCTTTTTTTAATTTTCACAGGCACAGGATCTTGCTGTTGCCCAGGCTGGTCTCAAACTCCAGGCCTCAAGCAGTTCTCCCACCTCAGCCTCCCAAAGCACTGGAATTACAGATGTGAGCCACCACACCCTGCCAGAACTTCTGATAATTACTGGTGAAATAATAAAAGTATAGGCCAGGTGCAGTGGCTCACACCTGTAATCCCAGCACTTTGGGAGGCTGGGGTGGGCGGATCACCTGAGGTTGGGAGTTCAAGAGCAGCTTGGGCAACATGATGAAACCCCGTCTCTACTACAAATACAAAAATTAGCCGGGCACAGAGGCATGCACCTGTAATCCCAGCCACTCTGGAGGCTGAGGCAGGAGAATCGCTTGAACCCAGGAGGTGGAGGTTGCAGTGAGCCAAGATTGTGCCACTGCACTCCAGCGTGGGCAACAGAGTGAGACTCCATCTAAAAAGAAGAAAAAGAAAAAAAAAACTATAGGTGTTTAATGTTAAAGACTTGTTTAATTAAATGAGAAATGAGACCTGGTAAATTCACAAATGATCTGGAGATTTCTAAGCCAAACAATGCTTTCCAAAAAGTGGACCCTGAGAACCAAACCAAACATTCTGCTATAAAAGGCCACTGGAGGGTGTAAACACTGGCAAGAGGAAGGGCTGCACAAGCCCAGGAGGCCACAGAGTTCTAAATGGCTTCTCCAGGTTCGCATCTGGATGGCCAAATTAGTTGGTGTAGAGTGACTTTATGGTAAGGCCCTGGGAATCCAAGTTTATGGCATCCTGGTCCCAAAACATTTGGCTTCCTAGGTTCACCAGGCAGAAGTCCTTGGGAATAAAGAACCCTGATTAGTCAAGATACTCCATTGTCACCAAAGAGAAAATTTCTTTGGAAGAACAACAAAGGTGACCATATCAGGGAATGAAAGGGCCAGAACTGAACCTAACAAAGCTATTCACCCAATTCACTGCCTTTGCATTTTAGGTTCTCTAGCTTTCACAAATAAGACATTTAGCAGTACTGAACTCACTGGGCAAAACTGAGTGTTGCCATGGTGCAAATCTGATCATGACATATCCAACTTCTCCTGCTATTAGTTATCATAATGCTTCCTTCTATGCCAATAAAAAAAAGAATGTTATTCCTTTTTTATTCAATTTATTCAATGAGGGCAGATGAGACTATTTTCAATCTTTCTGCCACTGTAAAATTGTCATCTTCTTTACCTTCCCCACCAAAATAAAACTATTATTATCCTTTACTATTCCCATTTAAATCCATACCCTCTCTTGCCCTGTTCCCTATTATTAGAAAGTTTTATCTAGTCATAAATCAACTACCTACAGTTCCTTATAAGATTGATTTATATTTCTAAATCAAAATGAAACAATAATTGCTACTATCCTCTCAGTTCCAGAAAACCACATATGCTGTCCTCAAACCCCAAACCACAAATGCTAAAAATTATGAATAAGAGGAATGTCTATTTGCTTACATTATAATGAATAAAGAAATAACTAGAGTCTTGCATTGAGAACAATCAGCTCATTCTTGACCTAGCATCCTATTTATCTTTCTATTCTCAAGGCTAATTGCTTATATAAGCATGCCAATTTGCCTTGATTATAGGATTCTTAATAAATGAATGTTGTTTACATTTCACAAGTATATTTGAATTTCACTACAGGAAGCCAAGCTCATCAAGTCTTTGTAAATGGTAAAACCAGAGATCAAAGCAAAAGGGCTGCATTGAACCAACAAACAATTAGGCTACAGAATGGAGGCCTAAGCAAAAATGCAATTGATTTATTGATTGTTCTACTCCAGAAGTATACTTCTGGGTCATTGCTTAATCTTACACCATATGTATAGAATTTTCTCACAAATTTTCATTATGATAATTTGGTGGTCATTTCTTAAATAGTTAAATAAAGTCTCTCTACCATTCAACAGGATTTATCCTTTTCTTCTGTATTTTTTCATCTTGTTGCTTTTAGTTGAATCAAATATCTTTCATTTTTTTAACTCTTCTCAACCTTCTCAATTTTGCCTAATCTATCCAAAATTTTGTTTAACTTCTTAAACAATCCCTTTTCTATTACACTCATTATCTTGTTTTCTGCTGGTTTTAACTCATAGGCAAATTGGCTTGGTCTTTGGGGTAGGAAGAAAAAGGGGGAAAACATCTAGCACAGTGGCTGTCAACCTTGGCTGCACATTCAAACCTTCTAGGGAGCTTTTAAAAATCCTGATGCCCAGGTCACATTCCAGACAAATTTATCAGAATTTCTGGGAGTGGAACCCAGGCATTTGTGGGTTTCTGTTTTTGTTTTTGTTTTTGTTTTAGAGATAGTCTTGCTCTGTTGCCCAGACTAGAGTGCAGTGGCATGATCATAGCTCACTGCAACCTCAAACTTCTGGGCTCAAGCAATCCTCCTGCCTCAGCCTCCCAGGTAAGCTGTGACTACAGGCATGCACCACCACATCTGCTAATTTTCATTAGTAGTAGAAATGAGGTCTCCCTATGTTGCTCCACACTGGTCTAGGACTCCTGGCCTCAAGTGATCCTCCTGTCTTGGCCTCCCAAAGTGCTGGGATTACAGGCGTGAGCCACTGTACCTGGCCCACTTGTACTTTCTGAGGATCGCCAAGTGATGTCAATGCACAACCAAGTTTGAGAACCACTACTTTAACTTACCAATACCCTTATTCTAGCTTAAATAAGGTGTTCTGCCAAACTTCCACGGAGAGAAAAAAAACAAGGAAGGGAAGTCAGGTTCCTGAGCAAACCCTCAACCAAGACAGGTCTTGAGACTAGTGAGATGTGTTATTTAAAAGCACCATCAGTCACACGTTAGTGTCCCAGCACCAGGCACATGGTCAAAAATGTGAACTATTTAAGCCGGGTGTGGTGGCTTATGCCTGTAATCCCAGCACTTTGAGATGTCAAGACTGGTGGATCACTTGAGGTCAGGAGTTCAAGACCAGCCTGGCCAATGTGGTGAAACCTTGTCTCTACTAAAAGTACAAAAACTAGCTGGGTGTGGTGGTGCGTGCCTGTAATCCCAGCTACTCAGGAGGCTGAGGCAGGAGGATCGCTTGAACCCAGGAGGCAGAGGTTGCAGTGAGCTGAGATCACGCCACTGTACGCCAGCCCAGATGACAGAAGGAGAATCCATCTCAAAACAAAAAAATATGAACTATTTGATATTTGACATCATTCCCAAAACCAAGCCATGGGCATCTTCTATGCACAGAAGTCAGTCAAGTGAGATTACTTCTGGGGATAGCAGGGTCTAAACACCTCAAGGCTTTCAGCTTCTGTGGCAATGGTTACAGGGGCTTACAAATGCATCAGAACTTCTGCAAAGAAAAAAGGAGACTAAGGTTACATGTGAAATGAGAGTCACCAAAGTCAATTACAGGCTAAACAAGAACACTGAAGATCATGGAATCACAGAAACTATATGAAGTTTGTCCTAGAAACTATACAAGACTAGAAATCATAGAGAGTTTGTGATAATTGCCTACCAGTGAACACTGATGGTCATGTTTTTCTGTTTGTTTTTTCAGAGAGTGAAAAGAATGTACATTTTTATCTGTCAACATCAAATACCATCATACCTGGTAAATAGGGCTGAATGTTGCCCAATTTCAGAATTCCAAGCCCGTCTGGTCCACATCTCCGGGCCTTGGTTGAGATCACAGTTCAAGAGGCAGCTCTCCAACCTAACAGCTCTTCCCTTAGACATTGCTTCCAAATTATATGCTATCAGTTGGAAACTGCATAGTCCTTGGCATTTATGTTGAAAGACAGGTTTCTGGAAAGGAGGAAGGGGTCACTGGGGAGGAGGGAGGAAGATCACCCTGCAGTATGAACAGATGGAATTCTAAAGGGAAGACAAGCAATGAGCTATCTCTGTCCCCAGTGTTCAAGTAGGTGAGAACTAAGAAGGTACATGAAGGCTCTCTAAGGAACCATGACTCCAAAGCCTAGGGACACACTTCTTATTTGCAGGGATGGCAGTGGCACTCCATAAAGAGCCGCTCTACAAGATGAGATCTGCCAAGCAACTGTATAGCTTGTAACTCACCTTCCCTCCTAAGTTCCTCTAGGCTGTTCCTTCTTTTATAAGGATTCAATGCTTTGTTCCTAAAAGTACTCCAGTTACAGCGTCCTCTTGCAAAGGAGGGGCAATCATCTATAATCAGTGCTTCTTGTATTAGCTACTTTTTTGACATCTATTACTTGCTTAAACCTGAGGGCTGGAGAGCCCACTTTACCTTGTCCCTATTCCCCAAGCTCTAAATATGAAAAAGAAGAGCACTGTTCATTAAGACCAAACCCTTTAAGCAACAGTTCTTATAAAGTCAAATGAATTTCCAGAACAAACATCAGCCCATACGTATCTTTTTCTTCTTTAAGCCCAGGAAGCACCTACCAGGAGATCTTTCCCCACTCTCAGGTGTTATAATTCTATGTCTAGAACCTGCAAGTTGCAGACTCACCTCAAAGAGGGCAACTTTCGAGCCAATAATGTACTTCCTATCTTCTTGGGCTGCAAAGGGCCTTCCAATCACCAGTGTTTGTCACACAGATTATCTGAATAACTTTAACGGAGAACTCACCATCCATTTTCAACAACTCTACATGTTAGAATATTTTTCCCTATGCTCATATGACTTTCAGTCACTGACCCTGGGGAATTCTACTCTTTAGACCACACAGAACACCCCTACACACATTTCCACCTGAAAGCTCTTCAAAAGCCAATGTCAACTAATGAATCACAATGTATTATGTTCTGGAAATTTTGTTTTCAAGTGGTATGATTTCCATCATCTCACGACTATGTTAACAATTGTGCCAAATTTTATTCCCATTCACAAAGGAGGAAAACCAAGGGCCAGAGGAAAGAGTTTCACTTGTCCAAGTTGGTGCAGCAAATATGATTCTAGAAACTAGGTCTCCTGCCTCCCAGGCCAATGCTAAATGACAGGCCACAAGCCAAAGTACTTCTTATCACTTACGGATTTAAGGCCACGCATACCATCTCTCCCCAAATTTCATCACTTTACACTGTTGCCAGTCTCTTCCTGGAGCCAAACATTTGCATTTGATCAACTTCTATCCTAGATACCCCAATATATTGTCACAGTTTTTACTGGTATTATTAGGAGGAAAAAATGCATCCTGATAATGATAACAGCCCTAACCATATATTCCCACTTTGGAGAATAAAACAGCTCAGGGAGTTACTGCCTAGGGTGAAACTGTAATGGTTCAAAGTGCCAACACTCCACCACCCCTCTTCCACACTCTCTTCCCCTCACAACAGGAGAAAGAATGTGAGAATACAAATCAGCAGCATCTGATGGCCTCACTACACTCCCACCCGCCCATCTGCTTAACAGACTTTATGGCAAGTGCTTTCCTTGGAAGTGGCTGAAAGGGAGCAACACCTTGCAGTGGGAAGTAAACTTAAATGTTAAAACTTGACCTTCCGGCCGGGCACAGTGGTTCACACCTGTAATCCCAGCACTCTGGGAGGCTGAGGCAGGTGGATCACGAGGTCAGGAGTTCAAGACCAGCCTGGCCAAGATGCTGAAACCCCATCTCTACTAAAAATACAAAAATCAGCCGGGCATGGTGGCACACACCTGTAATCCCAGCTACTCAGGAGGCTGAGGCAGGAGAATCACTTGAACCCGGGTAGCAGAGGTTGCAGTGAGCCAATATTGCACCACTGCACTCCAGCCTGGGCGACAGAGCAAGACTCCATCTCAAAAAGAAAAACAAACAAAAAAAACAACAACTTGACCTTCCTTTCCTTTTCACAGGTTTCGCATTTGGAGTATATGCGTTGCACTGACAGGTTGCCTATTCCTTCTGATTTGGAGAACAAACTTTTCAGCCAAGGTATTTCAAATCTGCCTTGAAAAGAAAAACTGAAGAGCACCTTTTTGGACCAGATCAATTTTTAACTCCATGCTTGAAAATAGAAGAGCACAGTGAAGATGCCAAAAGGCTTGACATCTAAAGAGAAGAAACTTCAAATGCACCTCACTTCAGTCACTTCTGAAGAATTTCTGCCAACTTTATCCAGTCTGAAATTTGCACTAACCAGACAGGAATTTTTTACTGCTAGTCGCAGGCCCTTTTTTTCTTCCCAGTTCTAAGCCTATGGAAGCATAATATAAAAGAAAGGCCAGGGGGAGTAGGGAACAGATCCAAATCTCTGCTGAAAGACTAGATTGGTTATTTAATAACTGTATAATTTTAGGCAACTTAGATATCTTTTTCTTTTTTGAGACCTGGTCTTACTTTGTCACCCAGGCTGGAATGCAATGGTATGAACACAGCTCACTTCAGCCTCGACCTCCAGGACTCAAATGATCCTCCCACCTCAGCCTCTTGTGTAGGTGGGACTACAGGTGCAAGCCACCACACCTGGCTAATCTTTTTTTTTCTTTTTTCATAGAGACAGGATCTCACTATGTTGCCCAGGCTGGTCTCGAATTCCTGGGCTCAAGTGATCCTCTCACCTCAGCCTCCCAAAGTGCTGGGATTATAGGGGTGAGCCACTGTGCCCAGCCTAAATAATCATTACTTATGCATCTATAGTATTGCTGATAGCATTAGTTACTGTGAGCATTAAATGAGAACATGTAAAAGGCCTACTCATAGTAGATACTCAGAAAATGTTCCCACTCCTTCCTAAAACAAAATGACCACATTCAATCTCAGGACATGCAGAAAAAAAATGAGAAGGAAATGGACTCAAATTAATCAGATACCAAAGCAGTTCCTGATACCAAATATAATACTGCCCTAAACCATTACTTCCTAATAATTTTAAATCTGTTTGCAGTGCTGCCTGACACCTGATATTGCACAAGATACAGCAGCTAAGACACAGACTTAAAATTGTCCTTTCCTCTGAAACTCAACAAAAGAATTTTAAGGATAGCTCTTCAACAAAGGCATCCAAGGGTGTGCCTTTTAAGTTGTAAACAGTGACTGCAAGCCAAAAATGAGTGAATAATATTATGCAGTGTCTAATGTAGAAACAGGTATTCTCGGACAAAAACCATCAGTTGTTCACCACATCCACCCAGAACCACCTTCTTATCATCATCTTTAAAAATAAAAGACATGGGAGTATTTGTGGATGTGTGTATGTAACCCAGGATGTCCAATCTTTTGGCTTCCCTGGGCCACACTTGGAAGAAGAAGAATTGTCTTGGGCCACACATAAAATACACAAAAACTAACGATAGCCGATGAGCTTAAAAAAAAATCATGAAATAAATCTCATAATGTTTTAAGAAAGTTTATGAATTTGCGTTGGGCCCATGAGGCCCACAGGCAGTGGTTGACAAGCTTGATGTAACCCCCAAAATTAGACAATGGTTAATAAATACAATGGAGGGCCACATGGCTATTACAGATATGAAGAACCCCCAAAAAACACAGGCTAATATTACCTATGAAATATATACATCCTTACATCCTAAAAGAACAAAGATTGAAGTACGTGGCTGACTTTATAATTTATGAAACACTTCCATATAAATTATACATAGGTTAGAGTATAACAGAAACATTGCACATACACACACACAAAGGCATATGCATATATGTGTGTGTGTGTGTGTGTGTGTGTGTGTGTGTATCTCACCTTCCAGCTGTACCTGAAAGGTCAATACAGGGAAGCAAATGGTTTAAATGTATACACTAAGACAGTAATTTTTTCCCTTAAATGTAAGTTTTATAACTATTACTATAATGATACTGAAGATACCTATCCTTGGGAGGATTAAACTCCTAACACTGGGATCCAATTTTTGCTAGTCACTAACTCCATTTTTTTCTATTAAAAAGATTACTTTTCAAAGTTCACCCCTCTAGTCTTAATTCATTAGTCTTTTATTCTCTCATTTCCATTCATACCCACTAATTTTTTATATTCGCACAATTTAACCCATATAAACTGATGGGGAGGGAGGGTATAGTCATTGAATAGATTTGTTCTCTCTTAAGGCTTTCCTAACAAGAAATAAAATGGACTTTTGTCATTTTAATTTTTGTTTACTTCTCTCTGAGGCCTTAAATATTCTAGAGCTGGAAGTTGGGAGGAACTGTTCTCCTAGCTTGAAACAGTCTGTTAATTATTGATGTTAGCCATACTTACAATGAGGTGCTTAGACACTTTTCTATACGGTATTACTATCTGGTTTTCCTCCCAAAACACCCGTATGATCTTTATTATACAAGAAAGTTGAACTGGTATCAATAATGCCAACACAATTTCCATTGCCCTCCACATACATACTTAAAAATCTGCCACTTAAAACTTGTCCTTCAAGATTGATGTCCACAATTAAATGGT